>NC_000014.9:74914743-75066258 GCF_000001405.40 Homo sapiens
CTGTTGTTGCCCAGGCTGGAGTGCAATGGTGTGATCTCAGCTCACTGCAATCTCTGCCTCCCAAGTTCAAGCGATTCTCCTGCCTCAGCCTCCCAAGTAGTTGGGATTCCAGGCATGTGCCACCACACCCAGCTAATTTTGTATTTTCAGTAGAGACGGGGTTTCACCATGTTGGTCAGGCTGGTCTTGAACTCCTGACCTCAGGTGATCCACCCACCTTGGCTCCCCAAAGTGTTGGGATTATGGGTGTGAGCCGCTGCGCCCAGCCCCGCTGACTTCTTTGAACCTCAGTTTAATTCTCTGTAGGACAAGTATTAAAATGCAGCACTGTCCAATTGAACTTCTTATCATGATGGCAGGATTATATGTCTGCACTGTCCAATATGGAAGCCAGTAGCCACATGGGGCCATTGAGCACTTGAAATGTGACTGGTGCAACTGAGACACAGATGACTTCATTTTAATGAATATGAATGCACAGAGGCTTATGTGCCTAGTGACTACTGTGTTGAACAGCACCCTATAAGGCTTCGTTCCCCCATGGTGACTGTGAGGATTTAATGCCACAGCTCTGTAAATGAGAAGGTTCCATACAACTGTCGGGTGAGCCTTCCATTTGGGAAGATGGAAGGCAGTTCTGAGTGCTTTCTCTCACCTTTTAAAAAAGAGCAATTGTTTTAAATAAAGAGACCCACTGAATTCTTGGGACAGAGGGACAATTAAAGCTTTGGTGAAACACGGTAAACCTTTTCTTTAAAGATGCACAAAGTATCAAAATCCCAGGAGGACTCTCCCATGGAACAAACAAGCCTAAAGGTTTCAAACAAGTTCTTAAACTCAAAGGTCCACAGGGGCCAGGCATGTGAGCAAATAGGCAGGGTGGAGGCGCAGAAAGGAGGGCTGGTGCCCCGTCTAAGGCAGGCATCTCCTCCTCCACTCCCTGCTGCCACAGGGGAATGGGAGGCCAGCGTTTCCAGATCTGATTTTTTCAAGAGAAGCAGGAAATCTGGACTTTTATAAGAATCTGCACATTTTCAAATGTTGGTAACAACTAAAAAAACCCAAAAAACAAACAACAAAAAAAACACCCCTGTGTTTAAGCCAAATAAAAGAAGAAGTGACTTGGATGACCTTCTTTTTCTTCCTCCACCCTGTCTCAGAGCCTGGCTCCTGCACGAGGCTCAGCAAATACCCGGTGATGTCTCCCTGGCCCCCAGGCTCTGAGGCCAGGCCCTCGGGTATTCTGGCTGCTTGCCAAGTCCCGACCCACCCACCTCACTGCTCCCTGCCACCATCTCTTCAGCCCTTAGTTATCCTAACAGCCGGACACGTTAGGGGTCACTCAAGCATCATCCCGAGCAAGCCCTTTGCTTCCTCCCTGGGCCTGAGGGTTGCTGCTGGCTGGCACTGCCCACTTGCCCAGATCTGTCTGGGCACAGCTGTGGAATGGAACAAGGGTGACAGTATATCCAAGTCTGGCTGCAGGGACCCAGGCCCAGGGGCAGTAACACCTTTCCTAATTTGAGGAAAGTGATGCTCCTGGCTTGGGCATGACACAGGGAAAGGAAGTAGGATCTCAGGAGGGAGGTGAAGTCCTTAAGTTGAGTACCCAAGACAGGATAAAAAAGAAAAAAAAGAAGGGTAGTCCTGAAATAGAATGCGGCGGGCCACTGGCTCACGCCTGTAATCCCAAGTGCTTTGGGAGGCCTAAACGGAGGTGGAGGATCACCTGAGGCAAGGAGTTCGAGACCAGCCTGGGCAACACAGCGAGATCTCTCTACAAAAAATAGAAGACAATAGCAGGGCTTGAGACTGTGGTCCCAGCTACTCAGGAGGCTGAGGTGCGAGGATTGCTTGAGCCTGGTAGGTCGAGGCTGCAGTGAGCCGAGATCACGCCACTGCACTCCAGCCTGAGCTACAGAGCGAGACCCTGTGTCAAGAAAAAAAAAAAATGGTTGGGCTTGGCTTTAATTTGTGCTTTCCATCTGCAGGGGCCTCGAAACACTGGATTCCTAAACCACTTTCCTGAGGCTAAACAAGTTTGGGGAATTCTGTGTCACAGTGTACATCTGCACCTAAACACTCTAAGAACTCCGATCATTAAGAAACAAAGCCATATAACTTCAACTCGCTGTTTTCCTATCATACTCAGCTCAGAACCCCTCTCACCACAACACCTATGGTTCAGCGGGATCGTACCGGGAGGCACGGTGTCAGTCACCTCCCGGCCAGTCCCTGGGAACGGCTGTGCTCAGCCAAGGTTGGGTCGTGGCCACTGACACTCAAGCAGTGGGGAGGGGACCGTGGCAGATGGAAGCTGGCAGGGCCTGCGCTGACAGTCTGGGACCTGCCCCAGGGACCCAGGAGAAGCAGCTGGAGTAAGGCCCGGGAGCAGAAGCCTGCGTGCCTCCCAGCTCACTCCTGTCACTTGTATTTAGAGCCATCAAGCACGTACTCAGTGTCACAGCATGTGCCAGGTCTTTCCCCAAAATTGTTTTGTTTTACCTCCCAGATCACCCCATTGGGGGAGAATTCTCATCTCACTTTCCAGAGGAAGAAACCACAGCTCAGAGAGCAGGGGGCTTGCCCGTGGCCACCCGGGGTGGTGCCCAGCGCGGGGCCTTCCCTCAGGCAGCATGTCATCCTCTTGCCTGTGGGAAGTACAGGACTGTCTCCTTTTCTCTGTGGGCCCCCAGATCTACCAAAATCACCCAGTGAGTATGTTAAATAACAGATTCTTGGGCATCTGTATTTTTAGGAAGCTCTCCATTTAGCCAGCTTGGTAAAGAACTTCTTGGGTGACTATTCCAGGGTTCAGGGGAAGAGGGGAACCTCATACTGGCTGGACTCTGATTTGACCTCATTGTCTGTCCTTCTAATCAGAAGCACTCTAACAATGAGTGCCCCGAGTAAGGGTTGGGACGTCGCCTCCTATCTTCTTGTCTGCCCTGAATAAGGCAAAGCATGCGAGATAGCATTGGGACAGGGTAAAGTTACAGTTAGGTCAGGAGAGGAAAAAAAGGGCAGACTTGCCAAGGCCCTGGGCAAGGACGGGCCAGAACGGGCCCTCTCTGGACAGGTTTCTGGAGTTGAGCACGTCCCAGCCGCAGGAAGTCCCCAGCTGTGCTCGGTAGAGCGTCTTGGCTGCAGCCCTGGGGTTCAGGGTGAGTGTGGTGGGGGTGCTGTGGGAAGCGGGAAGTGGGAGTGAGCAGGGCCTCGAGGACTGGCAGGGTGCCCTGGGCATAGCTCCTCGCTCCTCCTGCAGTTTCTGTCCCAACTCTCCCAAGGAGCAGGTTTTCTGGATCTGAGCTGCAGGGCTGTGGAAAGGGCCTGTCTGCCTCTTCTTTTTATATTTTATTTTATTTTATTTTATATTTTATTTTATTTGAGATGGGGTCTTGCTATGTTGCCCTGGTTGGCCTCTAACTCCTGGGCTCAAGCAGTCCTCTTGCCTTGGCCTGGTGCTTGGCCCAAAGTGCTGGGATTCCAGGTGTGAGCCACTGTGGCTGGCCAATCAGCCTCTTCCCGTTCCCTGCATTTTCCTCCCCAGGACCCAGGACCAAAGTCATGCGTGTTAGGGATGGGGGAGAGGTGGGAACTGCTGGAAACAACTGCACTCGCACTCCCCACTGACCCCTGCCCACCTCCTCTGGAGGAGTGGGGGCCACTGCTACAGACCTGCTTTCAGCATATCATGTCTCTCTCCCCACCGCCACCCCAAATTGCATACACTGTCTCCCTCCTGCAAGGCGAGTGTCCACTCACTCACCTTCTCGATGACCCCGACCACCCTGCAGCCCCTCAGCTGCTCCACGGCAGAGCTCAGCGTGCGAATGGGCCGGAGCCTCAGGCTGCTGAAACCCTGCAGAGGAGGGAGACAGGCCACACACAGCCTCAGGGCCGAGCCCTCCTTGGCCATGGCCTTCTCACCAGGCATCAGGCAGGGGCTTCTGGATGCAAGGAGAACAGCTGGGAGGGCAGGGGTATAGGCAGGCCCCACCCCACAGTGGCAGGCTGGGTGGAAAAGCTGGCCTTTACCGATAGGCACCCATACTGGTCCAGGGTGGTCAGGCCGACCTCTCTGCTGAGCCCGTCCAAGGCCCATGAAGTTCTCTGGGCTTCAGAAGCCCCCTCTCAAAAGCCCCATCTAGGCCAGGCGCAGTGGCTCACGCCTGTAATCCCAACACTTTGGGAGGCCGAGGCGGGCAGATCACTTGAGGTCAGGAGTTTGAGATCAGCCTGGCCAACATGGTGAAACCCTATCTCTACTAAAATACAAAAATTAGCCGAGCATGGTGGCGCCTGCCTGTAACTCCAGCTACTTGGGAGGCTGAGGCAGGAGAATCGCTTGAACCTGGGAGGCGGAGGTTGCAGTGAGCCAAGATCACGCCACTGCACTCCAGCCTGGGTGACAAAGCGAGACTCCATCTCAAAAGATGCAGATGCTCCCAAGGTGGGGATAGGGAAGTAACCTGGGAACGTGTGAGTCTCAGGGAACGTGCCTTGAAGACCAAGCACCTACTTTGGGGAAAGGCAGCCGTACAGGATGCAGTGAGCCAAGGAGGGCTGCGTGAGTACGCGCAACCGTGGGGTAAGAAGCGTGCGTGCATTTTCCACCCTCACTGAACACTTACTGGTTTAGAGAAAGCCATGTGGGGACTGTGTGTGTGCACATACATGCACACAGATATGTGTGTGTGCACACAAGGGTGTCGGGGTCTGCTCCAAATTGCATGCCGGTTCACAAGAGACAGAATCAGGAGGCTCTGAGTGTGGACACACATAAGCGTGTAAATTGAACGGTGTGCAAGGCTGGCAGATGTCTATGTGCACACATGGCAAGTGCTCTGTGAGGGAGGCAGACGACTGGAGATGACTCAGTGAGTTGTTTGAAAATGAATGAACCATGAGGCGTGGGAGAGAGAGGAAGCCAGGAGGAAAAGAAGATGGGCCGCCCTGGCACACTCCAGCCCAAATAATGACTTCCACTGCCGGCCTCTGCCCTGCAGCCCAGGGCGGGCCTGTGGGTGTCGGGGCCTCCGCAGTCTCCCCTCAGAGCCCTCCTCCCGCTCAGGCCTTTGGGTGGGGGGGGTCTC
Source organism: Homo sapiens (assembly GCF_000001405.40). NCBI lineage: Eukaryota > Metazoa > Chordata > Mammalia > Primates > Hominidae > Homo > Homo sapiens. The sequence goes on from NC_000014.9 coordinate 74,919,840, forward strand.
CTCACCGCGCTGGGGCTGGCTCCACTGCTCAGCGGCCGCTGCAGGTGGCAGTTGAAGATCTCCTCTGCCCGCCGCAGGTATTTGGTAATTTTCAGCTTCACAGCCTCACGTCGCTCCTTGTTGGGGTCAACTGTGGGAGACAAGAGTCACCAGGGTCCCCAGCCATGGCCTCGGAGGGCTGGAGTTCCAGCTCCCATTGCCTGCCCTCTACCCTCCCAAGGAGTGAGCTCCTGTTTCTAAGGCTGGTTCGGCAGATTCTGCCCCCAGATTGCTTCATGAGCCCCTCCTCTGGGGTGGGGGGCCAGCCAGGAAGGAGGAGGAAGGGAGCTGGCAGGAGGAGGTTAGGAACCAGGGTCACTCCTCAGCAGACAGCACTTCACCATTAGCACCCACCGCCTTGCTGGCGGCTGTCACACCCTGGGAAGGGACAGGGTGGGGATTTCCCCATCCATTTTTTCAGAGGAGGGGATAGAAGATTCCAGAGAGCATTGCTTCTTCCATCTCTGATGCCCAGTGTAAAGAAGGCTAGGGTGGGGACCAGGATCGGGGGATAAAGGAATTTGCTGGACAGACTGGAAGCCCAGGCTTGAAGGGTCTCTTCAGCCAGAGGGCAGGAAGGGCCCAGTGCCCACCTCAAGGCCTGGCCACCAGGGCCCACAGGCGTCTCAAAATGGCCTCAGCACCAGCCTCTCCCCTGACATGGAAGTTCCTCATGCTGCCCTGGAGGGACCTCCCCTCTCGCCTCTAGGCCTTGAATGTTCTTTCTGGAACTCTAGCCAGTTCTTCAGCTGGATAACGCACCTACCATTCTCCAGTGCTCAGATTAGAGATCTAACATCTAGAAAATGCTCTAGGCCGGCCCAGTCTGACCTCAGTTTCCCTCTTTCCTCTCTTCACTTCCCCACTAATCCTCTTCCTACCTGAGACTATAATGGTCCAAATCAACTCATCAGTCTCCCCCCACTAGAATGCAAACTCCCAGAGGGCAGGAGCCCAGCCCAGCTCCAGGAACAGTCAGGTGTAGTGGGCCAAGTACACAGCCTGTGAAGTGAAACCCCAATTGTGCCATTTGATAGCTGTGGAGCCTTGAGCAAGCTACTGAACTGCCCCATGCCTCAGCTTCCTCATCTGGAACATGAGAATGTAAAAAATGGTTCCTGTGTGCTTGGAACAACATACAACAACATATATAGTAATTTCTATTACTGTGACACTCAAATGAATGAATCTACATGAAGCCCTTAGAATAGTACCTGGCATGTAGAAACTGCTTAATAAGTGCCAGCTATCATTGTCTTTTATGGAGGCCCTGCAGGCCAGCATAGTGCCGTGCTCACTCAGTACAAATGGACAGGGGACAAGACAGATGGGTGACAGGAAGAGCCCTGCACTGGCCCTTCCCCACCCACCCCAGCCCTGCCCAGCCCCGGTCCTCACCGTGTATGCCACGGAGCAGCACGTCCACGCCATTCTGATAGTGGTTGAAGGCCGCCTCATAGTCCTCACTAACATCGCGCTCCAGGGCCAGCCGGATCTGCGTGGCCGCATCCACCAGATAGTCACGTTTTGTCATGTCAGGCACTCCCAGAGCCACCCTGTTGCGAATCTGCTCCAGGTACACGTGAGCTTGGGACCGTGCTCGTGAGCAAGGCTCAGGCTCCAGGCCGGGGCTGGGCAGGCACTCACAGGCCACCAGGCTCATGGCTGCCCTGCAGCTGGGACCTGGAATGGGCAAATGCATTAGGGAGGACCTAGCTGGTAGCAACACCCCTATCCGCACCCCAGTTTCCTCCACTGAATGTCAGGGAGACTCATATTCACCTCCAAAGACTGAAGGGGTCAGAGCTAAAGTGGGTAAGGTCTTTTCATGGATCCAGGTCCTTCCTAAGTGGTGGTAATGATAGAATCATAACCAGCTCAGGATTCTGTTTTCTTTTCTTTTTTTTTTTTTTTTTTGAGTCAGAGTCTCGCTATGTCACCCAGGCTGGATTGCAGTGGTGCGATCTCGGCTCACTGCAACCTCCACTTCCCAGGTTCAAGCAATTCTCCTGCCTCAGCATCCCAAGTAGCTGGGATTACAGGCACTTGCCTACCACACCTGGCTATGTTTTGTATTTGTAGTAGAGACGGGGTTTTACCATGTTGGCCAGGCTGGTCTTGAACTCCTGACCTCAAGTGATCCGTCTGCCTCGGCCTCCCACAGTGCTGGGATTATAGACGTGAGCCACCGCGCAGGCCTGGGGCTCTGTTTTCCTTTCCAGTCAAATTCAGTTCAGCAAACATTTCTGGAGCATCTGGTACTGTGTTGAGCTCTGGAGAGAGCTGAGGATATCTGTGATCCACAGCCACCTTCACAGGGCCTCCGTAGAGCAAGCTTGGTATCCAGTACGCATTCAGCACATGGAGGCCACACACGCTGGGCTCAAATGCTGTTCCTCATGCTGTTCCCTCCACCCTGCCTGTTGTCTCCTCCCTGCTCCTCCTGTGGGAATCTCATTTACCCTTTGGGGTTTAGCACTTCTCCGTGGACCGGATGGATTGCCCCTGCTGTGTTTTGTTCCCTTGGTCCTGAGGTCAGTGTGGTCAGCGAGTGAGGACCCCTCCTGGAGCCAGCAGAGAGCAGAGCACAGAGCTGGGCTGTAAGAACTGTTGGCAGACGGAATGACTGAGTGGCAGACTCGGTGCCACGTTGGATGGGGGGTAGAAGAGGGCAGGGTGACCCAGCCCCAGGGAGGGTCGCTCTGTCCTCCTGGCTTTACTTTTGAGAAGGTCATGTGGCCTCCAAGGACCTGACAGCAGCTTCTTCCTGAGCAATGTGTGACCCAGGCGGCCAAAGGGATGACAGCCGTGGCTGCGGGAAGGGAAGGGGCTCAGAGAGAGGCCCACAAAGCTACCCCGCCTTTGCTCTCCCAGGTCCCACTGGGAATGGGCAGGACCCGGAACTTCCAACCCCAGGTCATTTGGAGAGAAAGAGGAGAGAGCAGGATGGGCGGTGGGGCGGGGAGGGAGACCCACAGCCTCAGCCGGCGGGGAGCTGAATCCCGGCCAGGATGCGGCCAGGAGGCAGAGGGAGGCCGCACCATCCCTGCTCGGCCAAGCCCAGGGGAACTTGAGGCTCTGAGGCCTTGCTCTGGGGGGTGCCCGGGTAGGACTGGCTTCAGGGTCCACCCCGCCGGGCAGGGTCCTGCCGGGCAGAGCCGCCGGCCCCGCCTGGACACAGAAAGCGGCGCGTGCAACCCACGGGGCCCCAGCCGCAAGGTGCACGGTCCCAGGGTGGAGGGACGGCCGAGGGGGCCCCTCGCCTGGGAGGGTGGAGAAGGGACCGGACAAAACACCGTACCTGCCCGAGCTGGGAGCCGGGTCCGCGGGCCAGGCCTCCCCCTCACGTACCGGCCCTTCACGCCAGAGCGCGCCGCGGGCCGCTGCTTTCCGGCATCCAGCGTGCGGGGCCAGCCGGTGCAGCGCGGCCATTGGCTGCGGATGAGCTCATACTTGAGCCTTAGAATAAACCACCAATCACCGCCCGGCTCGGCTCCTGCCGGCCTTAAAGCCGCAAGGTCTGCACGGCTGGGCTGTGAGGGGCGGGGGGCGGTTTAGAGAGGGGAGGGTGGGATGGGATGTGGGGTGGGTGGGGAGAGCAGGTCTAGAATCATCCAGGGATGCGGAAGGGGCTGCTTCAGAAATCTAGACGTGCCACTTCTAGGACTTTTCTCATTCATTGCTTCATTCATTTATTCAACGATTCAATGCTATGTATTGAGAGTCTCCCATGCATGAGGAGCTGGATGTTGAGATACAGCCGTGAACTAGACAGCGCTGTTTACATCCGCATGGGGCTTACAGTCTAGTGAGGGCTACCGAGAGTAAAGAACCCAGCAATAGAAGGCTTTTGATATCAGAACCGAGCTTAAAATTCAAGACATAGGCCGGGTGCGGTGGCTCATGCCTGTAATCTCTGCATTATGGAAGGCTGAGGCGGGAGGATCATTTGAACCTAGGAGTTCAAGACCAGCCTGGGCAACATAGGTAGACCCAATCTCTATAAAAATTACAAAATTTAGCTGGGCATGGTGGCGTGTGCCTGTGGTCCCAGTTACTCAGGAGGCTGAGGTGGGAGGATGGAGTGAGCTCGGGAGGTTGAGGCTGCAGCGAGCCGAGATCGTGTCACTGCACTCCAGCCTGGGTGATGGGGCAACAGATCACAGGCAACCCTGTGACACAGATCTCACCTGCAGGTTCAGTGCTGACTGGCTTCACACTGTCCCCCGGCTGCACTTGCTCTACCTTAGACACCCTTTCATACTTTCTCCCTCTGACTCCCACCCGTCCCCCTATCCTCACTCTCAGCCAGCACTGTTGCTTCATCCTTCCCTTGACAGCAGTGGCGCACAGACTCCCACAGGCTTGCTCTTGGCCCGCGGGCGGGGCTGTGCCCACACTCTGCTTCCAACCTTTTTCCACAGGTGACTGTCTGTGCCCCATCGAAGGCCACCCTTCCAGGTGGGCATCAGTCCCGTGCCATCACCTACTCAGCGACACCACTCCAGCGATTCTCCCGTCTCTCCCACTAGATAATTCCCACCTGATACAAACATAATGCTTGTTTCTCCCCTCTTAAAAGCAAAACAAGAAAACAAACCAAAATACACTCTAGGCCTCACTTCTTTACCTACCACCCTAGGTTTGCAGTACGGCTAATTTCCTTTTTTTTTTTTTTTTTTTTTTTTTTTTTAGTAGAGATGGGGTTTCACCATATTGCCCAGGCTGGTCTCAAACTCTGGAGCTCAGGTGATCCACCCACCTTAGCCTCCCAAAGTGTTGAGATTACAAACGTGAGCCATGACATCTGGCCCAAAAGTAAACTTTTAAAACACATCCTATAGAATGGGAGAAAATACTTGGAAATCATATATCTGATAAGGGTCTAGTATCTAGAATATATAAAGGACTCTTAAATTCAACAATAAAAAGACATCCCATTTAAAAATGGGCAAGTAATTTGAATAGACATTTCTCCAAAGAAGATATGCAAATGCATGCCATAAGTACATGAGAAGATGCTCTACATCATTAGTCATTAGAGAAATACAAATTAAAATCACAAGGAGACACCACTTCTCACCCACTGGGATGACCACAACGAAAAAGACAATAATAAGTGTTGACAAGGATCTGGAGAAATTTGCATATTGCTGATGAGAATGTAAAAGGAACAGCTGCTTTGGAAAACAATTTGCCAGTTCCTCAAAAAGTTAAAATAGATTTACCATATAACGCAGCAATCTACTTCTAGGTGTATACTTAAGAGTATTGAACACATATGTTCACATAAAAACTTGCACATGAATGTTGATAGCAGCATTATTCATAATAGCCAAAAAGTGGCAACACCCAAGGTCCATCACCTGATGCATGCATAAAATGTGATGTATCCGTATAATGGAATATTATTCAGCCATAAAAAAGAGTGGAGTGCTGATACATGCTACAACATAGATGAACCTTGAAAACAGTATACTAAGTGAAAGAAGCCAGTCACAAAAGGACACATATTGTATACTTCCATTTATAGGAAGTTTCCAGAGACAGAAAGTTCATGTCAGGGAGGGGACAGTGTGTATGGGGTTTCTTTTTGGGGTCATCAAATGTTCTAGAATTAGACAGTGGTAAGAGTTGTACAACCTAGTGAATAATACTAAGGACCACTAAATTATATATTTTAAAAAGGTAAATTTTGGCCGGGCACGGTGGCTCACGCCTGTAATCCCAGCACTTTGGGAGGTTGACACGGGTGGATCACCTGAAATCTTGGGAGCTGGAGACCAGCCTGACCAACATGGAGAAATCCCATCTCTACCAAAAATACAAAAAAATTAGCTGGGTATGGTGGTGCATGCCTATAATCCCAGCTACTCAGGAGGCTGAGGCAGGATAATTGCTTGAACTCAGAAGGCGGAGGCTGCAGTGAGCCAAGATCGTGCCATTGCACTCCAGCCTGGGCAACAAGAGCGAAACTCCGTCTCAAACACAAACAAACAAACAAAAAAATAAAATAAAATCGTAAATTTTATGGTATGTGAATTATATCTCAATAAAAAATTATTACAATAAAAAAGAAAGAAAAAACAATGCCTGAACTCTTGATCCTGCCCTGAAACCTTTTCCACCTGAAGCCTTTCCCATCCCCATCCTGATGATCCGCCCATCCTGTTGTTGCTCAGGCCAAACATTTTGGAACCATCCTGATTTCTCTTATTTTTTCGCACAGCCCCTTGCCCCTCTCCATTATTTTTCACCAACCTCACTCACTCCACTGCAACTCCTGGGACACACCAGGCAGCTCTCACCCCAGGGGCTTTGCCCAGCAGCTGCCTTCTGGCTGAAATTGTCTGCCACCACGTATTTGTCTGGTTTTCCCTGCCCCTGGCTTTTTTTGTTTTGTTCTTTTTTTGAGACCGAGTCTCGCTCTTTCCCCCAGACTGGAGTGCAATGGTGCAATATCGGCTCACTGCAACCTTCACCTCCTGGGTTCAAGCGATTCTTCTGCCTCAGCATCCCAAGTAGCTGGGATTACAGGTGCACACCATCACTCCTGGCTAAGTCTTGTATTTTTAGTAGAGATGGGGTTTCACCATGTTGGCCAGGCTGGTCTCGAACTCCTGACCTCAAGTGATCCACCCGCCTAGGCATCCCAAAGTGCTGGAATTACAGGCATGAGCCACCACGCCCAGCCCCTGCCCCTGTTCTGAGGCGTTGCCCTGATGTGACTTTCTTGTGAGACCTACTCTGACCATACCTCACCCACAACATCTTCATTCCCCCTCATTCCCTCTGCTCTGCTTCTTTTCCATTGTACTTAACACTGTTAGCTACATAACTTACTATTGATGCTATACAACTTATTTGTTTTTTCTTTGACATGGTGTCTCATTCTTTTACCCAGCTGGAGTACAGTGGTGCAATCACAGCTCACTGCAGTCTCAATATCCTGGGCTCAAGCAACTCCTTCCATCTTAGCCTCCTGAGTAGCTGAGAGTATGGGCACATGCCATCATGTCAGCTAATTTTTTTTTTTTTTTTTTAGAGACGGGGGTCTCACTATGTTGCCCAGGCTGGTCTTGAACTCCTGGGCTCAAGCAATCCTCCTGCTTTGGCCTCCCATAGCGCTAGGATTACAGGAACGATCCACCATGCCTGGCCTGTTTTTATGTTTATTTCATTTCCTACCCCCAGTGTAAGATCCACATGGGCAAGGGTTTTTTTGTCTGCTTTATTCATCACTGTATCCCAAGTGCCTAGGGCAGCATCTGGCATATAGTATTATTCAATAAATATTTGCTGAATGAATGAGTGAACACTAAAGGATGAGAAGGAATTAACCAGGAAAAGTGGTTAGAGAGGGCAGTGGAAGGAAATGTTCGGGGAGGAGAAACAATATGTATAAATGCCTTAACAAACTAAGGGAGAAAAAACAGCATTTGCTCATCAAACAGATGGCATAAAGTCATTTGATAAAAGTCAACATGCATTCACGATAAAGACAACCTCTTAACTTGCTTAACAAACTGAACAAACTCATGAACGTACTTCTTAACTTGATAAGGTGTTATCTACCAGAAACTTAGAGCAAACACCATTTGTAATGGTGCAGCATTGGAAACATTGCCACGGTCCGACTGTTTTTCTGGTATCTGGAAGGGTCCTACTCCTCTACCGCTTTAGAAGTTAGGCTTGGCCATGGCACTTGCTTTGAAATGCTAGTGAACAGAATACATGTTGCTTTAGGGTGGAAGCTCCCAAAGCTTGTTCCTCCTGCCTTAGTGATCCTGGAAGTAGCTGACCATGGAGGTGCAGAGCCTCAATTAGCCTGGATCCCTGAGAAACAATAAATGGATGCCTCCTCAGCCCTAAGACTTGTGTTGGACATGAAATGTGAGTGAGAAATAAATTTCTATTGTGTTAAGCCACTAGATTTTGGGATCGTTTGTTACTGTAATATACCTTGACCTATCCTGAATGTTACATCCAATGCAGTCAGAAATGAATCAATGCTTCTACTCTTCTACAATGTACTGGAAGTTACAACTAATGCAATAAAAATTTAAAGACAAGCAAGAGGTTTAAGGATTGGAAAGGAAGAGGCCAAATTGCCATAGTTTCTGGTGATGCGATCATCCACCTGGAAAACTCAACAGCAACAATTGGTGAGCCCAGCGATCCTCTTGCCTTGGCCTCCCAAAGTGCTGGGATTACAGGTGGTCCTTGAGTGTTTTGACTGCTATCCATCACATGAGGTTAAGTGTGGAATTTTTCACTGGTGGTGTCATGTCTGTGCTCAAAATATTTCAGATTTTTGAGCATTTTGGGTTTTGGATTTTCAGATTAGGGATGCTCAACCTGCACACATAATCTATCAATTCTACTTCTAGATATTTAATCTAGGAAAATGCTTGCCCAGATACATAAGAATATATATGGATATTTATGGCAACATTGCTTGCAATATTAAGAAATGGAATAAATTCCAAACATAATATCATAAGTAATATCAATATGAAGTTAATAACATGTGGGATATTCATATATTAAATTATTATTTTCAGCATTTTAAAACAATGAAACTGAACCAAATCTATGTGCATGAACATGTACAGATCTCAAAAGCATATTCCTGAGTAAAAAAAGTCAGCTCCTAAGTGCCACCTACAATATGATGCCATTTATATTTATATCTATATTTTAAAAACTTTTATTCTTTTATTAATATTTAGGCCTATGTAAACATCGTACTATTATTATTATTATTATTTTGAGACAGAGTTTTGCTCTTGTCGCCCAGGCTAGAGTGCAATGGCGTGATTTTGGCTCACTGCAACCTCTGCCTCCGGGGTTCAAGAGATTCTCCTGCCTCAGCCTCCCAAGTAGCTGGAATTACAGGCTCCCGCCACCACGCCCAGCTAATATTTGTATTATTTTTAGTAGAAACAGGGTTTCACCATATTGGCCAGGCTGGTCTCGAACTCCTGACCTCAGGTGATCCATCTGCCTCGGCCTCCCAAAGTGCTGGGATTACAGACTTAAGCCACCTCACCCGGCCTGTATTATTTTATATATATGAAATATTTCATAGCAAAACAAACTAAAAAGGAGAATAAATGTAAATAAAAAATATCCACACCCTCTAAAGGGTGTGCAGGGAAGTCTGTATCCTATTCTGTGCCTCCAGGACCCACTACCAGGTGCAGTTATCAATTTACTGGGGCTCAGTCAATCAATTCTTCCCATTTTTCCTGGGCATATTATACACTGTATTGAACCTTGATTTTTTTCATTAAACAATATATCTACCCAAAGGAAACCTGTATGCTCAATGGCAACAAATCCAAACTGTGTCAGTGAAACATACGATGTGTGTTGAAAACCCAGGAAACAGAACACAGAGATGACAGGAAATAAAGCTGCATCTCATGCCCCAGCACAACTGCAGGGCATGGAAGCAGCAGGAAGAGCAAGTGCCCCATGTCTGTGGGTGCAGGAAGCGAATCTGTAGGTCCAGAAATGCAGGATTTGTGGGTTTTTGTTTTGTTTTGTTGAGACAAGTTCTTGCTTTGTCGTCCAGGCTGGAGTGCAGTGTCGCAATCTCAGTTCATTGCAGCCTCGACCTCCTGGGCTCAAGCCATCCTCCCACCTCAGCCTCCACAGTAGCTGGGACTATGCTCAGCTACTTTTTAAACTTCTTTGTAGAGACGGGGGTCTTGTGATTTACCCAAGCTGGTCTCATACTCCTGGGCTCAAGTGATCCTCCCCACTCAGCCTCCTAAAGTGGCGAGATGACAGGCGTGAGCCACTGTACCTGGCCGCCATTCACATTTTCATGTTTCTGATCTGCTGGTTGTACTGGCTATCAGGACAGTGCAGCACTAATCTTCATGCAGCTGCATTGCTGCTGTATTTGCATCCTACTAGAACAGCTGCAATAATTTCACCATCTCTATTTTCTTTACAAAGTACTTGCCTGACACCAGAATTTTAAACAGACTTTCTGACTAAGTGGTCTTAAACATTCCATGGCCACCTTTCTTAGTGTCCAGGTAATTCAGAATAGGTAATAGGGGAATTGTCAAAATCAAATGAAGTTTAAAGTGCTTCATGGTTTTTAGAAAATACTTCACGAAAGGAAGGCAGAATGTTTACAAATCTAATAATTAAATTTGAAGGACAATCTAAAAAGATCTACAAATTCATAGCTTAACTGGCCTAAGACCGAGTGAGCCATCACACACTGTGGGCACCACAGCACGACCTCAAGAACTCAGGAGGAATTTCCTTCCCCATGTCACAGAGAGCTTTGTGACAGGGACTGGCAGGAAACCATGGTCCCACCTAGTAAGATTCTGAGATGTTTTCCACTCCTTTTTTTTTTTTTTTGAGATGGAGTCTTGCTCTGTTGCCCAGGCTGGAGTGCAGTGGTGCGATCTTGGCTCACTGCAACCTCTGCCTCCTGGGTTCAAGCAATTCTCCTGCTTCAGCCTCCTGAGCAGCTGGGATTACAGGTGTGCACCACCACACCCTGCTAATTTTTGTATTTTTAGTACAGACGGGTTTCACCATGTTGGTCAGGCTGGTCTCGAACTCCTGACCCTGTGATCCTCCTGCCTCAGCCTCCCAAAGTGCTGGCATTACAGGTGTGAGCCACCGCACCCAGCCGTTTTTCACTCTTAAGGGATATTCATTTCAGTAGCTAAAGTAACTGAAATAATTTCTGGGTTGCTTCTTGGTAAACAACATAGACTTGAAAGAAGCAGTTCTCTAACTTTTTGGTCTCATCAACACAGAGCCTTTGTTTATCTGCGTTATTTCTATTGATATTTAGTGTATTATAAAAGACATTTAAGGATATTTCATTATTTAAAAATAACAAGAAATCCAACATATGGTAACATGAATGTTTTATGAAAATATTTTAAAAGTATTTGGTGACAGGAGTAGAATTATTTTCCTTTTTGAAAACCTCTTTAATGCTGACCTTAGGGATAGAAGACCGCTGTGCTGTCATATCTGCTTCTGTGTTCAGTCTGCTGTGATGAGTTGTTCTGGTTGAAGTAGGTGAAGAAAATCCGGCCTCACACAGAGATGTAGCTGGAAAAGGGAGGAGTAATTTAACAGCCACTTCAGACATTCTGGGTGTGTGTTTTCTTTTGTTTTGTTTGAGACAGTCTCACTCTGTTGCCCAGGTTGGAGAGCAGTGACATGATCTCGGCTCACTGTAACCTCCGCCTCCCAGGTTTAAGCGATTCTCCTGCCTCAGCCTCCTGAGTAGCTGGGATTACAGGCATGTGCCACCACGCCTGGCTAATTTTTGTTATTTTTAGTAGAGACGGGGTTTTGCCATGTTGCCCAGGCTGGTCTTGAGCTCCTGGCCTCAAGCAATCCGCCCGCCTCAGCCTCCTAAAGTGCTGGGATTACAGACTTGAGCCACTGTGCCTGGCTTTACTGAAATCCTAAAACCACACTATTAGCTATTATTATTAATCTTTACAGATGATAAAACTGAGACTCTGGGAGGTTAAGTAACTTGATTAAGCTCACACAGCTAGGAACTGGGAGTGCTAGGAATCCAACCCTAGCAGTTTGGCTCCAGAACCCAAGTTTGGACCACTATACTGATTACATTAAGCCCCTAACAGAGGAGTTCTCCAGGGAGTGGGGGAAGGGACCTCTTGGGGAATAGAGTGGGCAGCGGTCAGTTAGAGCTTTGTAACACCTGTAGTTGTTCTATGCTTTTAAACAGTAAAGTATATTGGCATATAATTTCTAATGTTAAAATTACTTTTAAAAAATTATATATGGAATAGCTAGGTGTGGTGGCTCAAACCTGTAGTCCCAGCTACTTGAGAGGCTGAGGCAAGAGGCTGAGGTGAGAGGCTGAGGCGAGAGGCTGAAGCGGGAGGCTGAGGTGAGAGGCTGAGGTGGGAGGCTGAGGCAAGAGGCTGAAGTGGGATGCTGAGGCGAGAGGCTAAGGCAGGAGGCTGAGGCAAGAGGCTGAAGCGGGAGGCTGAGGCGAGAGGCTGAGGTGGGAGGATCTCTGAAGTTTGCATTCAGCTTGGGCAATGTCGCAAGCCCTTGTTTTCTTGTTTTCTTTTTTTTTTTTTTTTTTTGAGATAGAATCTCGCTCTGTCACCCAGACTGGAGTGCAGTGGTGCAATCTCGGCTCACTGGAACCTCTGCTTCCTGGGTTCAAGTGATTCTCCTGCCTCAGCCTCCCCAGTAGCTGGGATTACAGGTGCGCAACACCATGCCTGGCTAATTTTTGTATTTTTAGTAGAGACAGGATTTCGCCATGTTGGCCAGGCTGGTCTTGAACTCCTGACCTCAAGTGATCCACCCGCCTCAGCCTCCCAAAGTACTGGGTTTACAGGCATGAGCCACAGCGCCCAGCCTGTAAAACCTTGTTTTCTTTAAAAAAAAAATTATTGAATATAGTTTTGGGATTATGTACTTATTTTTCATAATATAGTGAGGAGAGCTGTAAGGGAGTAGACGGAGTTCCCTAAGTCTCTAGTGGTGGACCAGACCCAACGTGATGCAGAGGAGTGTTTGGGAGGCTTTCCTGAGGAAGCACCTTTTAGCTGAGTTACAGATGATGTGTGTCTGTTAGTCAACAGAGTTGAGGGATTGGGTGTGGGAGGGGGAAGGGATTTCCGGGCAGAGGAAACAGTGTGAGCAAAGGTCCTGAGGGGCACTACAGATTCCAGAAACTGAGAAAAAGACAAGTGTGTTGGCCCTTAGAGAAAGAGGCGGCATGGCAAGAGACAGGGCTGCAAAGGAGGACAGGGATCAGACTTCATGGGATCTTCCAGGCTGAGGAAAGGACTGGGAGCATATTCTAAGAGCCACACGTGCTGCTGAGTAAGATGAAAATGGAAAATGCTGATCGGCACCAGGGAGGTCCCTAGAGTCACTTTAGCAGGGGCTGCGTTACAGTAGTGAGTGGAACTGCCAAGAAAGAGACTGAAAGTGTACACATCTCTTTCAAAACATGTTGCTCTAAAGCACAAGACCGGGATAGAAAGGCACCTGGAGGAAGAATGGGTTTGATTTTTTTTGCTGCCATTCCTATTTCTGTGATGGGAAAAACCTCTTCACACAGAGTCATATCCACAAGGATGTTTATCACAGTATTATTTATTAAAACAACACCAAAAAAAGAGGACCTACATATCCAACAATAGACCCTTTAATCAAATTATGGGATATCCAAATGATGCAATACAACTCAAGACTTAAAAATCATATTGTAGCAGAAGGGAAATACAACTCCGTATGTATGAGACAGAGTTTTGCTCTTCTTGTCCAGGCTGGAGTGCAGTGGTGTGATGTCAGCTCACTGCAACCTCCGCCTCCCAGGTTCAAGCAATTCTCCTGCCTCAGCCTCCTGAGTAGCTGGGATTACAGGCACCCGCCACCATGCCCGGCTAATTTTTCTTTCTTTCTTTTCTTTTTTTTTTTTTAGTAGAGATGGGGTCTCACCATGTTGGCCAGGCTGGTCTTGAACTCCTGACCTCAGGTGATCCACCCACCTCGGCCTCTCAAAGTGCTGGGATTACAGGCATGAGCCACCACACCTGGCCAGTGTATCATATGTTAAGTTTAGGAAGCAAGTTATAAAATAACAAATGTATTACGATCCCATTTTGGTATGGGGAGTTGAGTATATGTGACAGGGTGTCTCCTTCATCTGTTCCTTTCTTCCCTGTCTTCATCCTTGGTGGTGATGGTGGTAGTGGGGTCTTTGGATATAATGCACCATAATAAAAATTATGCCAAGAGATGTGATCCACTTTATCAAAAAGGAAATGTATTTGTTTTGTAGGTGCTCCACGTGGGGACACACGAGGGTCCACCACAATCTCCCAGGAGGGAGCTGGGTCCTGGGAGGAGGGCAGAGGGATCAGAGAGAGGGAGACCAGGGGGAGGAGTTTCTGGCCCCAATTTTGTACCAAAGCTGGAAAAAACAAAGTGTTGCTCATTCTTTGGATTTTGGAAAATTTGTGATAGATTATAAGACAGATTTTTTGGGGGGGTATTGAAGAAAGGTGTAACCACTCATTATCTGAAACCACAGGCTGAATTTACTGCATGCTTAAGCAAGGGACAGCTGTACTTGCAAGGCACAGCGTATCTCTGAGCAAAGCAGAGAATTAATCCCATACAGGTTTTGGGAAGTGTGTGGTTTAAGGATGGGTCAACGTGTGCTGGTTGATCTTTGGCACAGTCATTGGCATGCAGCTGTTGCCGACTGGTTATTTTCAGAAGCGTGGGGCTAGTCCTGATTGAGTGCATAGTTTCAGCAGCACAGTTACTGAAACACATGGCCATATAAACCAGGTTTATAATTGGTTCTAAGAGTCACTTGATATCATAGCCACATACCAATTAGTCTTTTCCTAAGAGGGTGGGCATGTTTTATTCTAGGGGGAAGAAGGGGAAGGGCAGATAGCTCTATATACACACAAAGAGGAAGGTCTCAGTAGAGCAGCCTGTGTGTCTTCTCCGCTGCTGGAGCTCATCTTGACTGGCCAGGGCTGGTTCCTAAGAAGGATCCCAGGCACCCAGAGCCTCCTGGGTTTGGATGTGAGAGGAAAGTCCTGTGACCTCCTTTGCCTCTCCCATGTCTGGAGAGAAGCTGTATTTCCGGCTAATCCAGGAGCGACAGCTCCAGGGTGCACCCCAGGTTCTGACATGGGGACTTGCAGCACCCCCCCAGGTTGGACCCTGACGTGCCTGGCACCCCTTGTGAACCCAAGACCTCAACTTCAGCTTCTCCGCACAGCAGCCATGGCCAGCTGTCAGCCGCCACCTCCTCCGAGAGGCTGGAATTCCTCGGGCAGATTTCTCACCCTCGCAGGACTTCTTTCCAGCGTGTCTGGCAAGTGAGAGGGCTTCGCAGGCCCCAGGAGAGGCTTGTGGCAGAGAGGGCTTTGAAAGGGAGAGGAGGAGGGAGGGTACTGCTGTTACAGCCCAAGCCTTAGGCCCCCGCTGAGGACGTCAGGTGGCCCATGTCTGGAAACACCCAGCGCTGTGGCCCACGTGGTGACTCTTGGGTGGCCCAGGCTGGGTGTGTGGGGGCAGGGCCTCAGAGAAGAGAGAAGGAGAAGGGGAAGACCGAGGGCTGGGGGTGGCGGTGGAGAGGCCACTGAGGACAGGGAGTGGAACAACCTTGCAGAGAGTGGTGCAGGGAGAAGTTACTAGAATGGCAGCACCCTCTCCCGCCACCCAGGCGACACCTCTCGGGGAACCCACCTCTGCGAGGGAGCCCTCAACTTCCTCCCGGCCTGACCTGCCTGCTCGAGGGTTTCCACGGTCACAAAGTTACCTCAGGGACTAGAAAAGAACCATCTTTTTGGCCTGGAGCCTCTGAGGTGGGGCCTCCTCGGCCTCAGTCACAGCCAAGGTCAGGGGGAAGGAGAGCGCCCCAGGCTTCCCTCAGGAAAAGGAAGGGTCCGGCTTCTTTAGGGAAACAGCTGCTGGGATCTGGTGCTGACAGACGGCCATCTTTCCACACCAAGGCTCTGGCCTGTCACCACCCTGTCTGGGGCCTCGAGTTCCCACCAGAGTTTTCATAGGGGCCTCTTCTGCTGACCCACCCAATCCACCCGCAGATGGTCTGGCCCGCCTCTCAGACTGGGAGCGGACCCAGCTCACTTCCCTACCGCCCCACTGCCCTTCTCTCTCTCCATCCTCAAGAGGAGGTGAGGTGGTGAGGGGCAGTGAGCACAGGCTTCGGATTCAATTCCACGTCAGTCACTTATGGTACAGTTTTAAATTCTGACTCGCTTAACTTACATGGCTTTGGACCAGCCTGGGCCTCAGCTCCTTCATTTGTAAGATGAGGAGGTGGAAATGGATTATTTGTAAACTTTCTTTCAGCCCTAAATTCCATGATCATATCATATTATTGTTTAATTTCTAATTTTTTTTTTTTAGAGACAGGGTCTCACTCTGTTGCCCAGGCTGGAGTGCAGTGACATCATAGCTTTCTGCAGCCTCAAACTCCTGGGATCAAGCAATCCTCCTGCCTCAGTCTCCCAAGTAGCTGGGACTACAGGTGTGCACCACCATACCTGGCTAATTTTTTTTTTTAATTTTAATTTAAGATGGCATCTCACCCTGTCACCCAAGCCGGAGTGTAGTGGCGCGATCTCAGCTCAGTGCAACCTGCACCTCCCAGGCTCAAGAGATTCTCCAGCCTCAGCCTCCTGAGTAGCTGGGGCTTGTAGCCCCATGCCCAGCAAATTTTTGTATTTCTTGTAGAGATGGGATTTCACCATGTTGCCCAGGCCAGTCTCAAACACCTGGGCTCAAGTGATTCACCTGCCTCGGCCTCCCAAAGTGGTGGGATTACGGCGTGAGCCACCATGCTCGGCCATAATTTAAAATTTTTTTGTAAAGACCTCAATTCATTGCCAAAGCAATCCTCTCGCTTTGGCCTCCCAAAGTGTTGAGATTACAGGCGTGAGCCACTGTGCCCGGCCACGTTATTGTTTAAAAAACATGCCTCTTGCAGCCTAGCACAGCCCTAACTCCCCAGCATGGCACCCGGGGCCCAGCCCGCCTACCAGCCTTAGCCATCACCCTCTGATTCACCTGCCTTAAGCATCAGCCAAACTGAACCGCTGGAGAGTCCCTGTACAGGTAGGGGTTTTGCCAGCTCTGGGGTCTTTGTTAATGGGTTGCCTCCACCTAGAATGGCTTCCCCAGTCATCTCCCCAGACCCAAATCTTGCCTACTCTTCAAGTCACAGCTCAAATGCCACCAGCTTTGCAAAGCCAGTTCTGATGTTCCCCAGCTGCAGGTCATCTCAGGTGGCTTTAGCAGCTCTTCAGCTGCATTCTTTTAGCTACATGGCCTGCTTTCCTTCTATTCTAATCACCTGTGTATATCTGATTCCGCTGACGAACTTTTTAAGGTCAGCGACAATGTCTTATTTCTCTCTGCGTAACCCTAGCTAATCGAGGTGCTCCCCTGGGTTCAGTCTCTGCCTAGTGTCTCACTGAGTGGGCGTCTCTCAAAGAACATTCGGGCCTGCAATGTTAGGGAGCATGACAGTGCTTCCTCAAAGCCCTTCTCAAACTGTCTTATATCAATAGAGACTCCACAGCAAAACCCCAAACTCCTTCTCTAGTCCCAGCCCCGAGGCCTTTTATTTCCCTCTGCCTACCTGCTTGCTTTCTCTTTCCTAGCTGTTAGGTAGACCAGCTTAGCCCTCCAGCTGTGATCTCTCTCCTTATTCCCCTTATTTATTGCAGAATAGAATTTTCTTTAGTAGGTAGGGAAGACTTTTGCTTGCTAATATACTTTGCCCTGTCATACATGTATCTACTACAAAATACCTAGGCCTTGTAGACTCAAAAAATGCTCATGAGTGAATAAATGATCAGGGTTACCAGCCCACGTGCATGATTAAGACCAAACAATCTACTTCTCTCTATCCTTGTTACTTCTCCCTAGACCAAACCACCATAATTGGTTGCCTGGCTTCTCCACAGCCTTTGAAGTGGTATTTGTACTCTAAGTTTTACACTCCTAGAGACCATTTTCCACATAGTGGGTGGAGTGATTGTTCAAAAATGTACCTAATGGCTGGGTGTGGTGGCTCACGCCTGTAATCCTAACACTTTGGGAGGCTGAGGTGGGTGGATCACTTGAGGTCAGGAGTTTGAGACCAGCCTGGCCAACATGGCAAAACCCTGTCTCTAATAAAAACACAAAAATTAGCCAGGTGTGGTGGTGTGCACCTGTAGTCCTAGCTACTCAGGAGGCTGAGGCATGAGAATCGCTTGAACCCGGCAGGTGGAGGCTGCAGTGAGCGGAGATTGTGCCACTGCACTCTAGCATGGGTGACAGAGTGAAACCCTGTCTCAAAAAGAAAAAAATGTATCTAATGTCATTTCATTCCCCTGTTTGAAACTCTGCAGTGGTTTATCTCACATTATAACAAAATTTGAACTCCTTACCCTGACTTGCAAAGCCCTTTATGGTCTGGCCCCTGGCTACTTCCAACATCACATCCCATATCCCCCCTCCCTGCCCATCATGCTCCAGCCACACTGGGGTTCCTTCCAGCACTTTCCACCAGCTGTGCCCTCTGGAGTGCTCTTATCCCTGATCTTTACATGACCAACTCCTTCTTGTCCTTCAAACTTTACCATCAATGTCATCTCCACAGAGATGCCATCCATAACCTCCTGACCTAGAGTACCTTCCCCCCAACGCTATCTCTTCACCTTTCCTTATTTTCTGTTCTGGTTTCTTATTGCTGCATAACAAACTACCTCAAAACAATTTGTTATTATAGTATTTTATGTTTCTGTGCATCAAGGAAATCAAACGGCACAGTGGATACAGCTTGTCTTTGCTCTGTAAGATCTGGGGCATCTGCTAAGATAACTGTAATGGCTGCGGGTTGGAATAGCTTGGGGTTGGCTGAGTCTCTCTCTCTCTCTCTTTTTCCACATCTCTATACGGCCAGCTTGAGCTTCCTTCCAACATGGTGACCTCAGGGTAGTTGGACATCTTACATGATAGCATAGGGTTCCAACAGACCAAGGCAGAAGCTGCCAGTCCTCTTGAAAGCTAGACTTGAAACAAGTATAGGGTCTCTTCTGCTATAGTCTACTGATCAACGCAGACCCAGGCCAATTCAGATTCAAACAGAGGGAAGACACTTCACCTCTTAAGAGGAGGAATGTAAAATAATTCAAGAGCATCTCTAATATGAGAGAACGCATTTTGGCAGCAAGACATTTTCTTATTAATGTATTTGTTTATATGGGTAACTTGCTTATTGAGCAAGTTTTTTTCCCCCTTCCATCATTGCTTCTAGATGAACTATGTTGGTTCTCCTTTTTCTGTCCCGTAACAGTATCTTGGGCAGATCTTCTAGTATTCCTGTTGCTTTAGCTTATTAAAGGCCCAGCCCCATCTAGGCTGGTCCATCTAACCAAGACTAACCATTTCCCTTCCCCAGGCAGGGTCTGGATTTGGCCCAGGGGAGTGGGGAGGGGTGTAGTTTGCCCCTGTACCCCCACTCCTCTCTCTCTCTCCTCCTCCTTTTCTCTCCCCTTTTCTCTTCTTTCACACAGATGGGGAGGGAGAGCTTTCAGGAAAGTCCCTGTCAGCTGTGGCCATTTCTTCTCTGGCTATGAATGTTCCCGGCATGATGGCGTTCAGATGCTAACTCTCTTGTGGGTTCACCACAGGGCCACCTCGCACCACTGTTCCCTGATGTGAGAGGTCCCTTCAGCTCTATATCTCTCACCCCACCACTCAGCCACTGCCCCAACCTCCACCCAACAGCCTACCGACTGTGGGTCTGCACAGCTGCAGGCCTCCCTCTTGGGAGGACATGGACAAGACAGCTCAAGGACATGCACCTTCCGCCATGTCCACCTGACCCATGGGCAACGACTGCTGGGTGCCCCAAGGAGTCCCTGCCCTGTCTGTCTCTGCCTCTTCAATCCTGCCCTCCCCCAACCTCCCTGTCCAGATGGCGCGTGGGCTGATCTCAACAGCAAATCCAGATCCAGGGAGAGGAGGGGAGGGAGTCAGCACCCCAGGACTCCAGTGACCCATCTCCCTCTCTCTTCCTTCCCCTGTCCTGGTCTTCTGCTTATGGAGACTGAGGAAGGGGGTGCTGGGAGATTTGGGGGCATAGCAGAATTGCTTTAACCATCTCTTAATAAATCCTGTAGGCAAATGGGCCTAGTCTCAAATGGTTCCTTTGTTTTAGAATATGGGGTACTCAAGGCCCTTTTTCCTTAGCTCTGAGTCCGGCCACCCATTCGAGCAGCAGAAAAGGCCCACCCAGTACCCTCTGGCACTAGAGCATGGGCTGTCTCTCCCCTCGCATGTGTGGTCCACGAGAGCAGGGTCCTGTGTGTCTGTCCCCACTGGATCCTGGATGCCTAGTCAGTGTCTAGGACACAGAGGGTGCTCCACAAATAGATGACAAGCAAATCCCTCTAGGACCTAAATGGCTGGAACGGCTGCCAATATAGTCAAGTAGGCCAGCTGGCTCCTTCCTACCCATTCCTGCTGCGAGGCTCCTGCCCACGGATGTGGAGTTTTGCTTCTGGCTTCCAGGAGCTTTTCTGGTTTCTGTCTTGCTCTCTACAGGGGTCACTGGCCTGGGTCGGGAGGCTGCCCGCCATGTGGGTGACCTTATGGAGCCAAAAGCCTTGAAGATGCTACCGGGCCTGGGTTGGGGTCCTCAGGGCTGAGCTAGAGGCCTGGCCAGTGGGAGGGGATGGGTGCTCTTCCCAGTTCACAGTGGGTCAAAGGCAACAGCTCAGAACAGCTGCAGCTAAAGAGAGGAGAGGCAGGAGAGGAAGTGCATTTCTTTGGCAAAGTATGTCTCCTGGGGCTGACTCACACCCGTCTATGACCACAGCCAGAAGCACATTCTGACCAGCGTGTCCTGCAGAGTCCCCAGGCCTCGGTGAACAGGGCACCAAGGACAGCTGCCTCAGCAGGGCCACCCCACTCCGCTGGACATCCCCAGCTCCCCTCAAAGCCCCAGGCAGGCCCCTGTGCCCCTGGGTCCCTGTGGGTTTCTCCTCAGCAGCCTCAAATGAGGAAGTGAGGCTGAGGAGAGAATGGGGGAACTTCTCTTCCCCCAATACATATAGCAGCATATAACATCAAAGACACAGACACACAGACACACACACACACACACACACACACACACACACACACACACACCCCTTGCAGGTCAGAAGCAGAGTGGAGTTTGATAGTAAGTGGTTTGGATTAAAAAAAAAATAGGCCTGGCATGGTGGCTCATGCCTGTCATCCCAGCACTTTGGGAGGCTGAGGCGGGTGGATCACTTGAGGTCAGGAGTTCAAGACCAGCTTGGTCAACATGGTGAAACCCTGTCTCTACTAAAAATACAAAAATTAGCCGGGCATGGTGGCGCACGCCTGTAATCCCAGCTACTCAGAAGGCTGAGGCAGGAGAATCGCTTGAACCTGGGAGGTGGAGGTTGCAGTGAGCCGAGATTGTGGCACTGCACTCCAGCCTGGGCGACAGAAGGAGACTCCGTCTCAAAAAAAAAACCATTAAAAAATAATAAGAAGATTTATTTTTTTCCTGCCAAAGCACTGAGGAGGAAGACGGAAGGAACTGGGGGGTAAAAGGCAGAGAAATCCGGGCAGCATCTGCTGGTCCTTGCGTCTGTTCAGCAGCCCGAGCAGGCTATACGTGCTGCCGTTCAGCGCCCTGAGACCCAGCCCAGGATGTCTATCAGGAGGGCCGGAGGAGTTCGGGAGTCCTTGCGGCACTGGGCTGGGGCAGCCCTAAGCCCTGGGAGAGGAGGAGATTGTGCTCTTGATGCTGTTAAAAAGTGGCTGGGACCAGCCTCTCCTCAACTTTGGAAACAAAACTACATCTTGGGAGCTCCTCGTTAGGGAAGGGGCGACCCCAGGGTGCTGTAGAAGCAGGTTGGGCGACCTCCGGGGCAGCCTTGAAGTGGCCTCCACAGGAACAGTCTCCAGTGACCACCCAGGGCCACCGAGACTTGAGCCTGGGCCCCAGTAGAAATGTGTCAAAGCCAGAAGAGCCATCTAGCCAGGCCCCTCAGGTCAGAGATGAAACGTGAAGGCAGAGGGAAGCCCAGTGCCACTCGGTGAGTTATAGACAAAGCCAGGCCTCTGACCCCCGCTTCAGTGCTCTTAACTCTCCATCAGCCATTTCACCTTCTTGGGCCTAAGTGTCCTCAGCTGTCAAAAGGAGGAAGGAAGGAGCAAGCTAACATGTTGTCGTGAGCTGTGACATGCCCTCTCGTCGACTGAGCGAGGCTTTTGAGATAAGGAAACTGAGGCTCGGAGAAGGTGCTGTGCTCTTCCTGTTACACCCCGATCCCTGGGTCTGTCTGGCTTCCGTTCCCGGCTGACGCTCACTGCCCCGGAAGACACACCCACTAGATCAGCGTTTCCACACTAGAATACTTTATTCAAGAGAATCTGGCTTGGCAGTCAGATGGCCCTGCAGGGACAGCTTGTGGGGGTGCCAGGGCCCTTGGGGAACCTGCTCCCCTGCCACTGCCTTCAGCTGGGACGCACAGGCTCCTCCCCTGGTGACCTCATCCCCACTGGCTGAGCTGTTTCTCATCCAGGCAGCTCTTTCTCCAGCCCGGGGCCCACTCTGTATGTGTCTCTTAGGGGGGGCAGGGTGGTGGCACCTTGGCCGGAAAGAACAATGTCCCAGTACAAGCAAATGGCAAAGTGTGAGGGGAGATCACGGGGGACAAGGAGTGGCAAAAGCCCCCAGGCAACCACTGTTCTCCAGAGCTGAATGTTCTGATCTTCAGAAGAAGAGGGGGAAGTGGCTGGATCCCCTCCGCCCGCTGCCGGCCTTCCCACCAGCCAGGCCGTGGCGGCCCCAGCAGGATCCGCATCCCTACTTTGGACAGGAGCTCCGAAAGCAAGGGCTGCTTGTCTGTGCAGAGCCTGAGGCCCAAGAACAGGTAGCAGGGCCCCCTTCTTTCCTTCTGCAGGCCCCTGGAGACCTCCAGGGCCTCTGGGGCCTAGCTTGCCCCTCACGAGGCCACGTGTCTTGCTTCTTTCAAAGCGGAAGCTCCCAGGGGTCTGTGGCTGGCTTCTCTCTTTCTCTCACGTTGTTGAAGGCACTGAATTCCTGAGGGTCCTGTCCTTCCCTGCCCCTCGTCTTGAAGGGAGCGAGGCATTCAGCAGGGAAACAGTTGGCTAATAAATAGAGGGCAGGTACCAGCAGGAGTCACTGAAGAGTGTGACGGTAATAAATACACGAGCCGGGTGCGGGGTCTCTCTCCTCCAAGGGGTGGGTTACCTCCGGGGAACAGCATCGCCGCACCTGCCAGAGACCAAGCACAGACGGGGCGGGTATCAGCACACTGTGGAGGGTGCGGTCTCCTCCTATGGAGGAGGGGGCAGGCCCAGAGGAGGAGCTTGGGCAGGGAGCATGGGGAGGGCGCAGTGCTCCTGGGTCCCTGCTTGCTTCAAGCTGAGGAGAAGCTGGGAGCTACCCTTCACCAAACACTTACCCATGTGCCCAGCCCTGTGCCAAGCACTGTCTTCTTAACCCTCAACAACCTTCCATGAGGAAGGCACCCTGATTATTCTTGTGAAGATTAGGAAACTGAGGCCCAGAGAGGTGAAGAAGCTTGCCTGTGGTCACACGGCCAGTCGGTGACAGAGCCACATTTGAACCTAATCACACTCCATGCAATCATGCCTCTGATTACCCTAAGACAGCAGTCTCCAAACAGGGGAGTACCGCTAGACGCACGTGAGGCCTGAGTACTGACGGTTTTAAAGAAATCCATTTTCAGCCTCCAGGTCTACATTGCCTTAAAATTATTTTTGTGAGGCAGTGGCTGAGATCTGCTTCTCTGGCCACAACACATCTTGCTCATTCTAAATCCTCATAAAGTGCTTTGCTGCCAGGTAAAAGTATTCTGAGGACATGAAAAAAAGAACAATTTGAGATATTGATGTAGGTCTTGAGAAAGAAAATATGGCTAATGACTGGGTAACCAAGGCTTTCAACAAAACTGAAGAACAGCTTAACCAAATTGTCAGCCAGGATATCATGAGAAGTAATTTGTTCTTAGCAGAGCACCTTGAGATTTCTGGCAAATAACTTGGAAGGAAGGAGTTCAAGTAATTGAGTGACATCTAGTCTCATTTACTTATTTATGTGAACATGGTTTCTCAACCTTCTCATCAATAAAAAAATGATAAACAGGAATTAAATTAATGCAGAATCCTGTCTCAGTCTGGCAGGAAGTAACATTCATTAATGGATTCATTCACTAATTGAAACGAGGTAGCCACATCCATCTCATTGAGATGCATTCCCAATCAAATTGATTGTATTTTTATGTTGAACATCTATTAAAATAGGAAGTATTTGTGCTGTTTTGACCAAATGGTGCTACTAAGAATTATTTTGATAATTTATTCCAGGAGAAAATTTAATTTAGGTTTATGCTCACAGGAAATTTAAAATAATTCAAACTCATATATCATTTTTTTGTGGCAGATAAATATGACAAGGTAATCAATAAAAGACTTCTGAAAATTAAAAGTACTGTTACACTAGGCTGAAATTCTTGGGGGTGGGGAGTGAAATGGAAATACAAGTTCCAGGAAAAAAGAAACAATGTAAATATATAATTATGAAAGGAAGTGTTCCTGTATTTTTTTTTTTTTTGCTTGTTAATTTTCTTTTTTTTTTTTTGAGACGGAGTCTTGCTCTGTCCCAGGCTGGAGTGCAGTGGCGTGATCTCGGCTCACTGCAAGTTCCGCCTCCCGGGTTCATGCCATTCTCCTGCCTCAGCCTCCCGAGTAGCTGGGACTATAGGCACCCACCACCACACCCGGCTAATTTTTTGTATTTTTAGTACAGATGGGGTTTCACCATGTTAGCCAGGATGGTCTCGATCTCCTAACCTTGCGATCCGCCCGCCTTGGCCTCCAAAAGTGCTGGGATTACAGGTGTGAGCCACCGCGCCTGGCCTGCTTGTTCATTTTCTTAAAAGTGGATGATGGTGAGTATAACATTAAAATGGCGTATTTAATAGGATACACCTGGAGAGTGTTCTACAATAGCTTTGTATTAAAATATTAATAATATGCCAGAAATTATATCCTTTGTAATGACTTATACTTTTTTTTTTTTGAGACAGGTTCTTACTCTGTCACCCAGGCTGAGGTGCAGTGGATCTATCTCGGCTCACTGCAGCCTTGACCTCCCAGGCTCAGGTGATCATTCCACCTCAGCCTCCTGAGTAGTTGGGACTATAGGCACATGGCACCACGTCCAGCTAGTTTTTGTATTTTTTTTGTAGAGACGAGGTTTCACCATGTTGCCCCGGCTAGGCTTGAACTCCTGGCCTCAAGCGATCCACTCGCCTCGGCCTCCCAAAGTGCTAGAATTACAGGCATGAGGTACTGAGCCTGGCTTGACTTATAATTCTGATGAAAATGTTCAATGTCAACTTAAGAATGGGCAAGGGAGCACATGGGCTTTTGGAATTCTTTTTTTTTTTTTTTTTGAGACGGAGTCTTGCTCTGTCACCCAGGCTGGAGTGCAGTGGCGTGATCTCGGCTCACTGCAACCTCCGCCTCCCGGGTTCAAGCGATTCTCCTGCCTCAGCCTCCCAAGTAGCTGAGATTACAGGCATGCACCAACACGCCCAGCTAATTTTGTATTTTTAGTAGAGATGTGGTTTCACCGTGTTGGTCAGGCTGGCCTCGAACTTCTGACCTCAAGTGATCTACCCACTTCGGCCTCCCAAAGTGCTGGGATTACAGGTGTTAGCCACTGCGCCCGGCCACTTTTGAAATTCTTTCAGGAGATTCCCGAGTGAAATGTCTGAAGACTGCTGCCTTGGGAACAGGAGCCACGGGACACTTTCTGCCTCCGGCTGCCGGCGGGTAACTCGGGCCTGGATGGACTTCCCTGCCAGCTTGTTTCCCAAATTGCCGCGCGGGCCCAGAAAAGAGATGAGAGCATAAACCCCTAGGGGGCGCAGTCCCCAGGATCCCTGTCTTCATGGAGTGGGGCTCATGGGGTCAGGGCTTGGGTCAACTCCACTCCATAGCACGAAATGACTTCCTGGAGTCACGTGCGTGGGGGAGGCTTAGCCCCTGAAGGAGAGCCACCTCTCTTCAGTGACTGATTGACTGTGCACGTGAAATATTTTATTTTTTCTATTTACTCTCACAGATTTGGGTTTTCCCTCCTCTCATCCTTCTCTCCCAGCCACACTCAGGCCTGGGGCTCCATTCTGCTGCCCACAAGGTACGAAGTGGGTTAGAAGCAGCAAGGGGACCCACAGGCAAAAATACTCCTGGGAGACAGTGGCGAGGGGCACATGTTCCCCGGGGCTACTAGGAAGTGGCCCCAGATAACGTCTCAGCTGATGACAGACTTTTAATCACTAAAAGGTAAACACTAATGTGCAGGAATCCTGTTTGTTTGCTCACAGATGTACCTGACACACAGTAAGTGCTCAGTAAATGTTTGTAGAGTGACTGAATGTTTGCTGGACCTCCTGCCCCTCATTCTACACAGAGAAAAGCTAGGCTGACAAAGGTGAAATGATTTGTTGAAGGTCAATGGAAACCTAGGGCTAAGCCGGGACAAAAACCAAGGTCCACTGATGCTTCCTGGGCCCTAGAGTCTTGAGGAGGTGCAGCTCCCTGTTCTGCCCCCAAGACTGGCCTCAGTCCTGCCTCTCCCCCTCCCCAACCTAACCCTGGCGGCAAGGCGGGGCTCCCCTCGGGCCCAGCCTCCTCGCCATCCCTGGGACCCCGCACACTCACAGGTGGCAGTCTGTGGGTCTCTGCTTCTCTCTCCTCCTCTTCCCCCTGCCCTTGGGTCTCCTCCTGCAATAAGCCAAGCGTCAGGACAAGGTGGCTGGGGAACCCCATGCTAGGACAGAGGCTGGCAGGCCCGAGAATAGCCCCGAGCCCCAGCCAAACCACTTACCTTTCCGGCTTCATCTTCTCCCGCAGAGGCCTAGGGAAACAGACAGAGAGAGGGGCAGAGGAACGTTAGGAAAGCAATAAGTGGGGCTCCCTGCCGCCCGGACAGGTCCCCTCCGACATCCCCAGTCCTGGTCCTGCAGCTGACACTGAGGCCACTAGGGGGTAGCATGGAGTTGGCAAGGGAGAGGTGGCCAGAGCCTCAAGGCTTCACTCCCACTCCAGGCTCTGGTGACCCCACCACGAGAGGGACAAATCAACCTCCTGGGGACCCCTGCCACCCGCTTCTGCACTTCTCAGCCTCTTGGCATCAAATTTGGTTGTTTCTGTCTGTTCTCTGTTGCTTTTTCTTTCTCACTTTCTTTGCTGCTTTTTTCCGTTCCTTCCAGGGTGCATTCTGGGAATTTCCTCAGGGACAGGAGATGATGGCCAGACAGCGGACTGGCTGCCTGTCAGGGCACAGCCCCACTCCATCCGGAACAACATGGGGAGTGAGCGACGGGGTGGGAGGAAGGAGGGAGCATCAGCCCTGAAGTCACCAGGCATGTCTGGGCTCTGCCTCCCAGGGCTGTGGCTGTTGGCCCAGAAGCAAGAAGAAAGGTGTCCCTGTTGCCTGGCCCCTGGCAGGGGATAGGGCCTCAGTCTTCACTGGGAACAGTGGGTAGAGACATGGGACAGCATGGTAGCAGTCAGCTTTGGGGCCAGGACATGCTACCCTCAGCTGGTTCCTCCCTTGGGAGCCAGGGCAAGGTACCAGGGCCTCTTGGGACTGTCTGGTTGTACCTCTCCATATTGGGCAAGTGACAGACACTCTTGGAACCTCAGTCTCTTCATCTGCCTGCCCCAAAAGAGTGGCTGTCAGGGCAAAGGGGATGGAGAAGGTGACTCTGGGTCACCACCCAGCATTGCACCCAGGAGGGTTCATTACCGAGCTCTTGTTATATGGCTAAGCTCTGGCTTGGAGGGATGGGTGGAAACAAGTTGAGGCAGGGTCTCCAACACTCCAACAAAAGGGGCAGCCATAGCCCTGCCCAGGAGGCAAGGCTAAGCCTGGGGGCTATTAGAAAAGTGGTCATGGCCATGAAAGGTAGCCTGAAAAACGAAGGCTTACGAGTTAGGTCAGGGCCCAGAATCCCTCCTCCCACACTCACTAGCTGTGATAAATCATGAAACTGTATTGAGCCTTGATTTTCTCATCTGTAAAATGGGGATGACAATAGGGCCTACCTCCCAGGGTTGTTATGAGAGCAGGAACCTTGCTCACCACTGCATCCCATCAGGACAATGCCTGGCATGTGGTAGGTGCTCAATAAATGTATGTGACTAAATGAGAAACATTCAAGTGCCTCCTGCGGGGCTAGGCACAGAATAGGTACACAATAAGTGGTAGTCTTCCCTCCTGCCGCCCCTGGCTAGGGCTCTGGACTTCTAGTCTGGTGCCTTCATCCATGGCCCAGTAGTACCAGGAGCAGCAGCTCAGCCCATTTCTCTCTTCCCTGAACCTAGCTGGCAGTGCCAGGCCTGTTGCTCCTGCTAACCAATGTTCCAAGTGCCCCCAGCACAGGCAGCAAGACTGGTGCTGGTCAGAGGCTCTGTGGATTGGGAGGGGCCGTAGAGGGGTGCTGCAACATCAAGGAAGCCACAGTGTCACTCTTCTTCTGCCCCTTTTCTCCTACCCGAGCTTGTCCTTCTTGCTGCTTCTCAGCCCCGTTTGCCCGCTCCTGTGGGCACACAGCTTGCCCCAGAACGAAGTTCAGACTTGCAATGTCTTTGCCTCCAGGCACCTCTTTCAGAGGCCCGTGGCAGCTGCCTCCCATCCCAGAGAAGGGGAACGACACGCACCGAACCCCTGCGAGGCTGGGAGGGACCCACCCTCTCTCTTCCCTTGCAGTATCTCAACAGCTGTACCCCAGCTGCTGGGACCAGCTCCCTTGGCAAAACTGGCTGGTGGGGGGACAAAATGAATGGTAGCCACCCCTGGTCCTGCCCTCTTGGTCTCCCTCAGTCTGGAAAAAAGTTCAGCCCGCAGCGGGGATGGGCAGCCTTTGCCTCTGCCCTGGGACCCATCTTTGCTGAGGCTGCCAAGAGGACGGGGGCCTTTCCTTGCTACCCACCCGACCCCGGAGACCTACCGGCATTCGCAGCGAACGTGCTGAGAGAACGTCAGCTCCACGTAGGAGGGCCGGTCCCCAGAACGGATCTTTAGGAGCTGAAGGAAGAAAGAGTTGATGCCTGGATTGGGGAGTGGCCCACGAGTTTCCGGCACTCTTCTCTCTCTCCTTGTAAGGAGAACCCGACTCTGTTTCCTGCTAGCCTGTGGACTACAGGCCCTCACTCCACTCTGAACGTGGGGCAAACAGCTCTCTCAGCTGCATGGGGATCTGAGGGAGGCCCCTGTCCCTCCCTGCCCGGGAGCACTAGCACAGCAATAGCACAGGAAGGGGGCTCATGTTCTGGAGTCAGAGAGACCCGTGTTCAGATCTTGACTCTTTTACCTGCTGAACAAGTGAAATAACATCTCTGAACCTTGAGTTCCCCATCCGTGAAATGGGAATGACACCAGCCTTGAAGGATTGAATGACACACCACTTGTGGCACGCCTAGGACAGTGCTTGGCATTACTCAGTAAGTGCTCAGTAAACCACTGCGTGTGTGACATGTAAGCTGCACTTGCTTGAAAAGGGACCAAATGCTCCTGGTGTCAACAGGGACTTTATACAAGCAGATTTCTTTCCAGCTTTAACTAGACACCCTGAGTCTTGGGATAGGACTCAGCGTGAGGCTGAGAATGCTGGTGGGGGTGGAGATGAGTGGGCTCAGAGCCATCGGAGGGCTTAGGAAGAAGAGGCCCTGGGCTGGGGTGGTAGGAGCACTGGCCTGGGAGTCAGGCTCCAGCCCTGGGACCTGGGCCTATCTTCTTCCCTCTCCAGGTACCTTCTAGTGGGCAGATTCGGTGGCCCCCTGGGCAGGGTATGGACCTACCTGCATGGTGACATTGGCCGTCTCCACCGGCACACAGTGCAGATTCTCATCGCCGCA
Organism: Homo sapiens; assembly: GCF_000001405.40. Taxonomy (NCBI): domain Eukaryota; kingdom Metazoa; phylum Chordata; class Mammalia; order Primates; family Hominidae; genus Homo; species Homo sapiens. The sequence continues at coordinate 74,949,414 of NC_000014.9, forward strand.
GCAGCCGGTGCAGCGCAGCAGGGAGACACAGGATGGGCTGAACATGTGCTCCACCTCGCTGGGGTACTCGGACACGACGTCCACCAGCCTCTCCAGCGCCCGGCAGTAGCTGCGGCCCCACACTTCCTGGAAGGGTACCACTGCGAGGAAGCAAGGGGGCTGGGTCAGGCCAGCAGAGACCTGCCCCTTGAAGCCCTAAACCTGGCTCCCAAGGCCCTGCTGGCCTTCCAGGTTCAGCCCCCAGCCCCATCCGAGCTCCCTCAACTCTGAACTCCTAATGTGATCCCTCCGAAATGCCTGCGGGCCCCTTAGCTCATCTGCTGGATGGAAATCCCCATGGAACAGAATCTCTCAGGGTCCCAAGCTTTGCTCTGTCCTCAACTCAGGCACCCACGTCTGCCTTGGCTCCCTGGAGCTTTGAGGATTGTAGCCCCGGCAGCTACCCAGGCCCTCTGGATCTTTCTCAAGCCTGACCCGGTGCTTCCTCCAACTTGGAGAACTTGCAGAAAACAGTCATTCCTGGAGTCATGCAGGGAGGGTTGGCCTTCCCTTATTCCTCTGCTCAAACACCTTCCACGGCTCCCTCATTTCCTGCCCCACTCTGTGCCAGCTCCTCTGCCTGGCAACCAAGACCACATCCAGCAATGTGGCCCGACCCTCCTCTCCACTGAGTCCAACCAGCGCTCACACTGAGCCACGGCAGCACCACATTCACTCCCAGCTCTGGCTTGTGCACTCTGCAGCCCGTACAGCTGCTCTTCTTCCCCCTCCTCTCATTTCTATCCAAATAAAGTCCACCCGCCATTTTCCACGACCTGCCTCCCCACCTCCTCTTTGAAGACTTCCCCAGCAATTCCAGTGCACACAGATGAGCCTCCCTTGAGCACTGCTTGGCCTCTGGCCTCAAGGGGTTGCCTTATCTCCGGCACTGCTTGCTCTTATCTCCTTTACAACCAACTCGAGGCTCCATGAGGGCAGAGATGGACGTACCCGTAAACACAGGCTAAGTCACTCCTGGTTGATTAGATGACATTTCACTGAGGATCATCCGGGTCATCCCTGACCTCACGATGTCCTGGCGATCGTGAATGGGATCTTTTGGGGGCTGATCTGGAATCCCTCAAAAGATGCTGCTCTTTCGGGGGAAGGCCTAGGACCAGGCCCCAAATAGAGGCTCACAGGGAGAGTGGCCAGAGTCAGACACCTGGCTTCCAGTCCTGGCCCTACACTGGCTATGTGACCTTGGGGAGATCACTTAACCTTTCTGGATAGATCAGTTTCCTCAGGTGGGAAAAAAGAAGGTTGGGAATAAATGGTTGCTAAGGTCTTTCCCTCTCTGACCAACCGCCTGTGAATCAGTGCCTGCAACCCAGCCCAGCCCAGAGACCATGGACAGAGAAACACCCCCAGGCCTGGGTCATCCTGCTCTGCATCTGATGGTCATCCTCAGCTAGTGGGGAAGAATGGGGAGCTGGGGGTCCTGCAGCCTCTGCCATGGAACAATGGCCTCTCCCAGCAACCCCTCATTTCTTCCATGCCTCTGCCTAGGAGGCAGAAGGGGCCAAAGTCCATTCCACTGAGCCTATGAGGACATGAGCCTCCTGGTAATCTCGGAAGAAAAATAAACTTCAGTCCTAGCAGAGGCCCTCGGGAAAGGCTGCAAACTGGTGGAAAATACCCAGAGGCGGTGTGTCCATGTGGAGCTGGCTAGGCAGTCATAGAGGCAATAAACAGTGTTATCTGCTTGTTTGCTGCTCCATTCTGCTCCATTCTGCCGTGCTCTGCTTAGAGGGCACTAGGGCCTAGGGGCTGGTGGTGGGGGGAATCCATAGGCCTCCTCTGACTCTACCACTCCGCGCCACTGGATACTGCCCCGGAACCCAGTGGGAAACAAGGCCTCTCTCCCCAAAGGCGCCCAAAGTGCAGGGAAGCCTGCCTTTGCAATCCTGGGTCAGAGAGCACCTCCCTATCACCAGCTCCTTGAGCTGTGTGTTTAGTTTAAAATCTTCATGAGCACTACGTGACTCTGAACGTTTAATCTCCACCTTGGAAAACATAAATAACAGCAGAGGAATAATGAGCTGCCAAAGCACCACAGAAGACTCAGGTTCCTGCCCTGGGACCAGCCGTCAGCGAGGGGACAGCAGCAGAGAAGGGGCACCCCAGCCCCCTCCATCCTGCAAACAGACACCCACCCAGCTGGGCTGCGGGGCCATGGCCACCTTTGGCAGAACTGGCTGGGCCTCGGCAGCAGAAGAAGGGATTTCCTTTCCTCACCCCACATCCCACCATGCAGGTTCCGGGTCCCTGAAACCCTGGAATCTGCCACTTTCCCAGCCCTGTGGCCGAACTGTGTTGGGGGAGGGCTGAGAAGGAGGTGGGCTGGAGCCTGGTTTACCTGGCAGCCACCAGGAAAGGGCAATTCATCCCTGAAGGCCCCGCTATGGGTGTGTGGGAGAAACAAAAGGGGCTGGGTGAGGGGCCGGGCTGAGGGAGTACAGTGACCGCTCCCAGATGTGGGCTGTGTCCCTCAGGAAAGAGCTCTGCTCAGCTGTCCCCGAGAGCACTTCCGCTGGCCCCAGACCTGCTCCGGGAGGGGGTGGAGGTGAGAGCAACGGGAAGCTGTGGCCCCCTCAGGGCCCCCTCAGGCACTGCCAGGGCTGGGTGGTCCCCAGGGCTGCTCCTGAGGCTGCAAGTGTGCCCTCAGCTCTCTCGCCAGCCCTGTGAGTGAGCCTCCCACCTGCCTACCTACCACCTGGGATGGGGGAGACCCCAGGAGAGAAATGCTTAATCCTGAGAGCAAGTTTCTGTGGAGGGCACTGGAGACGGGCCACAGGGCTGGGCAGAGCCACTGGCCACCAGCCCAAGCCCACAAGTGTCCTCTCCATGGTCACTGGCAGGGCACACAGACAGCCTGCCACAAGGGACACCCTGCTCATGCCCGCTCAGCCACGGAGCTATTGGGAGCACTTGGTTCTGCCAGATCCATGAGGAGTGTCTGAGGCTTGGGGCGACCCCCAGGGCCTCTCTGAGCCTCAGGGCCTGCCTGCATCTGTAAAAATGGAGTACAACCCCTTCCTACTTCACAGCCTGTGGTCAAAACAGAATGACAGAAAATGCCTAACATTGTTACCGTGAATAGTAATAGTAAAAATCAATGCCCATGGCTGGCCATGCTGTCTCTGGCTGTGGTGTTAACAGGTGGGGATGCCATTTTCAGATTTTGAGAGCTGGGGTGCAAAGCTCGTTGTACTTCTCCCGGTCAGATTGCAGACTCCCTGATTGATAAGTGTGACAGGAGAGCTGACCTAATGAATCTACACTTCCAGGCCTCCCCACCTCAAATCCTGGGTGATATGTACACCCATTTCTCCTCCCTGGAGTCAGAGGACAAGTCCCTTTTTCAATCTCGGAAAAAGAAGAAACCATAGACATCATGTAGCCAAGGCTCCCATTTTACAGATGAGAAAACTGAGGCTAAGGCATCTTTGGTAGCTGTGGCCTGACCTACACTAAAAGCACCAAAAAGGGCATAGTGTGGAGGTAGGGGATGGGTCCTTCCCCAAATCCCAAGGAGCATAATGTTGTGCTGGTTCCAGAGGCACAGCAAGGGAGGCATCCATGAGGTCAAGGGCAGCTACCTCCTCTACCTGCTCAGGGGTCTAGGGGCCTAAGCCTTAGGTGTCAGAGTATGGCCAGGCCCGGGAGAGGCGGGCTGCCAGGCAGGCAGCCCAGCAGAGGGTGTTCCCAGCACGCAGATGGCTATCACGCGTGTGCGTGTGCATGTCCCTACATGCCCACTCTCCCATGGCGCAGGGGAAACCTCAGCGGTGGTGTGTGGCCACTTTGCACGTCTTGGAGAGGCAGGGAGGGAGGAGCGAGGTAGGGGGCCTGGCATGGGCCTCCTGCCTTCTGTACATATGTCTCTTTGGCAAACGTCTCGTTGCCCTTTGAAGACTCCCTCTTGATGCAACCAGGGCGGGGAGTGGAGGGGCCAGGGAGGGCGCGACTATGTTCTGTCTGTTTATAATCAATGGAAACGCATGGTCAGATCCCGGCAGTTCCACCAGGGCTGGGCTGCTGGGGAGGGCCCCTCACCCATTCCTGATCCTCTTGACTGCCCACTGCATTCAGCTCCCAGACCCCCATTCTGGCCCCTGGCACTCACTCCCCACCCTGTCCTCCAAGACCCCATCCATACCCTTAAATCATGCTGGGGAAGGGCTCTGAGCCAGCTGGATGAACCCTGGCTATACTGGCCCCAGCCCCACTCTCCGTGTGCTGGTGACTCCAGCCCACACCTCTCTAGTCTCTGGGTCACCATGAGGGGATCTCTTAGGCCCTGCCAAAGTCATCACCCAGCATGTCTAGCTTGTAGGCTCTCCCCAGCTTTTATCAACCTGCACCCACGCTTCATGCCACACCTGGGCTTGGGAGAAAGGAAGAGAGGGGCTTGGGGAGCATGCGTACCCCCAGCCTGGCCAGCTTACCTTCCACCTCTGACGAGCCGTTCCCAGCAGACAAGGCCCACTGCTATGGACAGAAAAGTGCAGAGGTGAGCTGGGGGTACCTTGGAGCTCTGCACTCTTGGGCCAAGTGTGATGGCAAGAAGGTAGGGGCCCCTCTGGGTTCCTTCCCACTTGCTGCACATGCTCTGCCCTGTCTCAGAGCAGCCTGAGTACCACTAAAAACTCACTGGACCCTGGGTAGGTTAGGTCCCACCCCTCTCTGGCCTCAGTTTTCCTCATTTGGAAAAGGATGGGAGGCTAGAAGCTTTTGGAGACCCTTGGCCTGCTGCATCCCAAAGATCTTCCAATCCTGCGGGTCTGCCTTCTACCCAGCCCCCAGGCCAACCCTGCTGGGCCCTGCACAGCCCGCCTTGGCTGGGTGCCAGAGCCCAGGGGGAGGTGATCAGCTGGTGGGAGCTGAGGGGCTGGAGCGGGTGGCGCCATGAGCTGGTGCAGCCGGTAACGTTACACCTCTGGCCAGCCCTGCAGCAGGCAGGCGGGTGGCTGGGCTGCTCGGACTCCTCAGGGACTGCCCAGCCCACTCCTACTCTTGGGCTGGGGCTGGGGACTCCCAGGGCAGTGGGACAACGCAGTGGGAAGGCAGTTCATTGGCTTTGTCAGGATTTCACTGCCCAAGCTGGCTCCCAGCCAGACTCACCCGGCTCCTGGGAAAAGGGCCCTGCTCACTTCCCCAGGCCCTGCACTCAGGACCTCCGGCCACCCACCCAGGAGAAAAGGCACAGCGAGACCCCTTGTCTCGTCCCCAGCCCACCCAGGAGCCCACGGCTCAGTCCTGAGCCCTGGTGGGGGCAGGGCCAGCCTCCCCACCAACAGCTTCTTCAGCTGGCTCCTCCGCCACCCCCACCAGGCCAGGTCAGAGGTCCTGGGGACGCCTGGTTGGCCATGGGGCCTCGACCCTGACCACAAGGCCAGGGACCCGCCTGGGATTAGTGGACAGATGCTTTTAGCAAAGCCACCAGGGCTCCAGGGGCCAGACAGGAAACCTCCCTCCCTCCCTCCCTCCCTGTGGCTTCCCTGCCCCCACCAAGACAGCCCCCAGGACCTGGGGGACAGCCAGCCTGAGGTCTCTTCCCAAACGAAAGAAGTCCAGCCTGGCCTTTAGGAAGTGTGTGGACATCCTTGGAGTTGCTGCTCCCTGGAGTGGGTCTGTGATTTCAGAGTCCCATGCTTCCAGTGCTGGGATGGGGAGGTCTGGGGAGCCAGGCTAGGTGGGGGTAGCTCTTACCTGGGGGGGCACAGCAGGCAGCGCCAGCCCGGCCAGGAGCTGCAGGAAGCAAGGGAACAGCCTCATGACCGGCATCTTCTCAGACGTCCCGAGCCAGGGGGCTCCGAGGGAAAACCACCATGCTCATCCCCCGGGGAGCCCCTGGCACAGGAGGAGAAGAGCTGAGTGGGGGGCTGGACGCCTCCCTCACTGCTGCCCCGAGGCCCCGGCCGGTGGTTCGAGCATCTTCTGGAAGCCTTGCGGAGTCAGGAGCCCGTAGGTAAGGCTGTGGCTGGGGAACCCGACGGGGAGCGGCCCGGCGGGGCGGGGCGCCGAGGGGCAGGCGGGTCCCGGGGATGGTCCGTCGGGCGCCCAGTGCCACTCCAGGTCCTCCCGTAGCTGGGCGGCCGTCCGTCGATGCAGTTTCCTCCGCAGACAGCAGCTCCCTTCTGAGACTGCAGCCGGTCCGCGCCTGGGTTTCAGGGACTGAGCCGGGGCGGGGCTCCGGGCCGGCCCCGCCCACCGCAGACGAGGTTCCCGAGCCGAGTTCCCGGAGCGCCCGGTCAGCCCGCAGCGCCCGGCCAGCCCGCAGCGCCGGAGCCCGCAGTGCGTGCGAGGGGCTCTCGGCAGGTCCAGACGCCTCGCCGAGCCCAGCCCGCAGCTCCCCGGGCCGCGCCGCGCCCGCCCACAGGGCCCACAGCCCTGCTTCGGCTCTCAGGGCGGTCACCTGGGATGGGGGCATCCAGGAGTCCAGCGTCAGCCGTCAAGGCTCATGATCTAACCGCCTCTGCAGGAAGGGCCGTCCGGGATGCCTGGGAAGGCAGCCATGCCCACACCCCTAGGGGGCCAAGGGATTCCTAGCCAGGTTATATAGATGAAGAAACCGAGGCTCCGAGAGCACCCCTGCCTGCATATGTCGAATGGACATAGGCATTCTTGGAAAGTGTGTGTGTGTTGTGTGTGTGCGCGCATCTGTGTGTCCGAGGAACTGGCAGAGACAAAACCCAAGCCTACGTGACTCCAGAACTCTAACCCGACCTACCACCCTCCTAGCCAGGCACGGACACAGTGGGCCTCCCACAGGAAACCTCTCAGGGCACCTGGCTGGAGGATCAGGCCTGTTGCCTCCTTGGGAAGCAGTCTTCCCAGGCCCTCCCTGCGGGGCAGCCCCCTGTGGTAGAGAGTGGTCTCACTCAGGCATCTCCTCCTGGTCCCTGGCCGAGGAGGAACTGTACGCTGCGCGGGGGTCTGTGTGCATCTGCGCGTGTGCATGGGCATTTGCGGGTCTGTGAATATCCATGAGCGGTGCATCTGAGCCTCTGTGTGGTCTGAGTACGTGTGACTACTGTACCTCCAAATACGCCTCTGTGTGGGGGTCAGGTCTCTCTGTATCTCTGTATGCTTGTGTGATCTGTTCGTGTCCGCTGTGTATCTGGGTGTGTTTGGAAGTGTCTGAATGTGTATCTTTCGGTGGGACTGTGAGTCTGCACGCCTGCCTGTCTCTGCGTGTGTGTGTCTGTCTCTGTGGGTGAAGACTGTGCCTCTCTCTCTGCGTTTGTGTGTGCCCTCCCTTGGTTCTGGATCTTTCTTTACCACCACTCCTCTCACTGCCTTCTGTGTCCAGCTCCCAGGCTGCAGGAACCTGGCAGGACTGGGAGTCACGAGTTGGCTGGGCCTGGGGCTGGTGGGTGGCTGTGGGGGAGGAGCGAGGCCTGGGAAGTGGCCCCTACAGCTCACATTCCAGCCAAGAGCAGGGAGGCCAGGGCAGCCCCAGCTCTCACCCCAGTGACCTCTGCGTCCACTGCCTGCCTGCCTGCCCACCCACGAGGGGCTGCCAGAGATGCAGCCTGCCTGCCTGGCCGGCCCTAAGCCTGGAGGTTCAGGAGGCGGGGGCCAGTCACCAGCTGGCTAAGCGGGGTCTGCAAGGAACATCCTGACGAGCTTCAAACAAGCTGGGGTTCGTGGGGTAGACAAACTGCTTCCTGGGCCCAGAATCATTGTGGAGGGTCACTGTGCATGTGTGTGAGGGTGAGTAGGTGTGTGTTTGTGCATATATGTATTGTATATGTTGCCCATAACATCTTTGTATACATACACGTGTTTGTGTGTGTCTTTAGTTTGGGTATGGATTTGTGTATGTGGGCACAGGTGTGTATTGTGCACAAGTGTGTGCGCGTGTGCTTAAGTATCTTCATTGTATATGCTTGTCTATAACTGAGTGTTTCTAGCACTTATGCATGGGATGTGTCTATTGTGTATGAGTTTGTATTTTTTTTTTTTTTTTCTGAGACAGAGTCTTGCTCTGTCGCCTAGGCTGGTAGACAGTGGCGCAATCTCGGCTCACTGCAACATCTGCCTCATGGGTTCAAGCGATTCTTGTGCCTCAGCCTCCCAAGTAGCTGGGATTGCAGGTGTACACCACCATGCCTGGCTAATTTTTGTATTTTTAGTAGAGACAGGTTTTTGTCATGTTGGCCAGACTGGTCGAGAACTCCTGGTCTCAAGTGATCCACCCACCTCAGTCTCCCAAAGTGCTGGGATTACAGGTGTGAGCCACCGCGCCCAGCCTGTATTCATTAATTTGTTTTTTCATTTGGCATGTATTGCCTGAGCCCTGCTATGCTCCAGGAACTGCTCTAGGTGCTAGGGATATGATATGGAGGGTCTCTCTGAGTTTACATTCATGGAGTAGGGGGATACCGATGGCTGGGGATGCCGAAGTTCTCTTTCCTGAGTGAACTCAACACCTTGGGCGAAGTCTGTGGTTCCCACAAGTGCACCTCAGTCCTTCATCACTAAATTGGGGACCATACCCTTCTAAACCCAGCTTCCTGGGCTGTGAGATGAATTAGCCTAGGGTAGGCTCAGCGGCAGAGACCAAGGAGACTCTAACATTTCCATGGATTGAATCAAAGTTTGTTCTTGCTCACATCCAGTCCAGAGCAGCTGTGCTAGTAATTCTGCTCCCTTGTTTTTTTTTTAAATTTTTGTAATTTTAATTTTAATTTTTAGAAACGAGGTCTTGCTCTCTCTCCCAGGCTACAGTGCACTGGTGTAGCACTGGCTATAGCTCACTGCAGCCTCCAATTCCTGGGCTCAAGGGATCCTCCCGCCTCAGCCTCCAGAATAACTGGGTCTACAGGTGTGTGCTACCATGCCCAGTTAATTTAAAAACTTTTTTTTTTTGGGGGTAAAGACAGGGTCTTGCCATCTTGCCCAGGCTGTGCTCCTTTGTACACTGGCCCCACTATTGACCAGCCACATCGCCTCAAGCAGCTTCCTTTGCTTTCAGAGCCCCAGCTTCCTCCATCTGTAGGAGTGGGAATGATAACAGTACTTACCTCATAGGGTTGTGCGAGGACTGAGAAAGCACCTTTGGTGCAAAGAATGGTAGCAATTGATCACGATTTCTAATTTAATTTTTGACTTGTATTAGAGAAATAAAAATACTACAGTTAGACCAGGTGCAGTGGCTCACGCCTGTAATCCCAACACTTTGGGAGGCCAAGAAGGACAGATCACCTGAGATTAGGAGTTCGAGACCCGCCTGGCAAACATGGTAAAACCCCGTCTCTACTTAAAATACAAAAATTAACTGGGCGTGGTGGGAGGCACCTGTAATCCTAGCTACTCGGGAGGCTGAGGCAGGAGAATCACTTGAACTCAGGAGGCAGAGGTTTCAGTGAGCCGAGATCGTGCCACTGCACTCCAGTCTGGACGACAGAGTAGAACTCCATCTCAAAAAAACAAACCAAAACAAACAAACAAAAAACAAACTACAGTTACAGAGCAGAGTCCTGTAGCATGGACATGAGATAGAAAATAAAGAATCTTATGCTTCTGCCTGTGGCAGTGGAGAAAGAAAATGGAGCGATTTGCATAGGTGCACACAAACACTAATTCTCACCATCACAGTGCAGGCTCTCAATCCTCAACTGTCACTGAGGCCCTTGAAGTAGACCCAGGTGCTTAGGGGGTGGCAGTCAGTGCCCACAACTCAACACTTAACTGTTTATCACCACAATCTCTTGCTGTTGTTTCAGGGAGAGAAGTAATATTTATTGAACATCTATTATATGCCAAACAGTGTGCTTGGTGCTCTAACCACCTTGACTCATTGAATTCTGATCACATTGTAGTGGTAGGTTTTAATTATTTCCATTTTGAAGATGGAAAGATGGAGGCCCAGGGAGTTTATGTAATTTTCCAATAGTCGTTTAGCTACTTAAAAAGGAACAGTGATGGGGATCAAGCCGAGATCTTTCTCCAAAGGTCTTTCCAGTGAACCTAAGCGCTAGCTCCCAACCTTACTGCAAGGACGTTGAAGGTGAGGGCTGATGTCTTGAGCCGTTTCTGGGTCTTCCCCATGCTGGAGCAGAATGGATGCTTGACAGACTTGGGATGGTTGATGTGTGGAAGGAAGGAGCCCTGATTTCAGGAGCTGACTCTTATGCGGGGAGTCGGGCAGATACAGATAAACATGAGGGGTTGGGTGTGGAAACACTGGGCCATGACAATGCAGTGGACCCTGAGCAGTCATGGCTTCCAGTCTGCAGGCCAGCCCCTGGCCCCCAAGGCATCCTGCAAACACAGTTTCCCATATTATTAGTCATCGTGTTAGCCTGAAACACCTGCCCCAACCCATCCCAGCTTGTAGGCTTTCAGCTTCCTGACTCACTTCCCCATTTTCTAGCCATTTTCCCATTTTCTAGCCTCTTTGTTGTCTTGGCCCTATGAACTTTTCCCCAGTGATGACTTGTCCTCTCTTAACGACAATTCAGCACCTGCCTCTGGAGAGGTGTCTCAAGTGGTCCTGGGTAAACACCCTCTGCTTCTGACCTTGTTCCTGAGTCCCGGACTTGGGTGGCTGAGAAGTGTAGCATCCAAGGATTATCTTCCCCTTCATGACTGGTAGAAAGGGAAACAGTGGGCAGCTCTGGGCCAAGGGCCTTTTCACTTTATAGACTGAACCTGCATTATAGCCAGCAGCTACTCAAAGCTGCTAGCAAGCAGATGCTTGGTTGGCCTCTGCCTTCTTGCCCTGCCTCCTGGGCTGCGATTTCCTGTGGACCCACCCCAGCCTCCATCCTGAGCTCTTCTTCTCTTTATGCACTTGTTCTAGGCAGGATTCCATGGCTTCCCTGGCAACCAGCACTGGGTAAGACATCCCTGGTACAGGTTCCCACAGTACCTTGAATTCCCCTCCATCATGGCACCTGGCCTTCAGTATCACAATTGCCCAGTTGCTTATCTGTCTTGCCTAAAAGATGGTAAGATCTAAGAGGGCAGGTACTGTGTCTCTTGTTTACCCTTGTAGCCTCCACACCTTGCTCAGTGTCTGGGACATAGTAGGCCTTAATTGATATGTTTTGAGTTGGATCAATCCTCAGAGACTAGACCTTCCGCATGGGGAAAATGTCCCAAGTCTGGCCCTCCCTTACTCACGTGCCCTTCAGCTGTTCAGAGGTGCCCCCTCCTAGACCCCATACTCAAGAACTTTCAACTTGGGTGGGCCCCTCTGATGGTGAGGGACGGAGAGTGTGGGGGAACCATCTCTTGTTACTGTGTAATCATGTGCTGGGTTGGTCACCACAGCCCCACCAGCCACCAGGGGACAAGGCTTATGTCTCAGGCCAGAGACCAGAACCCAGTGGGAGGCCTGGGGTGGGGCCCTGTTGGAAGGGGGCCAGGAGAAGAGCCCATGGGTGTCCAAGTGTTTCCAGGAGTGGGAAAGAAGATGGCATCTGCCACAAGAGCTGGGAACGAGGGAAGCCAGGCAAGGTGCCCACGGCCTTGTCCCAGGCTTCTGGGGCAATGTGTCATCACCAAAGGAATGGAAACCTGTACTTTGGGAACTTGGCAGCCAGGGCTGGGTTTTTCGTGTTTTCTGTAATTATTTCCCTTTCGTTCTCCCTTAGTATTTAGTAAAGCCCTTTGTGAAAATGCCAGCTGGTCTCAGCTGTGCTAAGAGTGGTGACAAAGGGGGACTCTGTGCGTGCTTGGCCCTAAGCTTTAATGGAGGGACCTGGCTTAATGGTGGCAGCAAAGTCAAGGACCATCAAGGACATAGGGAGGCTCTGGGAGCCACAGCCCACACCTCATGTCCAGACAGCCTCCCGAACACTGAGTCTCCTCCCAGGCTCTTCCAGGACCCAGCTTCAATAACCTGGGCTTTATTGAAACCTGGGGGGAATTTGAGACCAGTCTGGACAACATAGTGAGACCCCATCTGTATGAAAAAAAAATAGCCAGGCATGGTGGTGTGTTCTTGTGGTCCCAGCTACTCAAGAGACTGAGGCAGGAGGATTGCCTGAGCTCAGGAGGTTGAGGCTGCAGTGAGCTGTGATAACACAACAACACTGCTCTCCAGCCTGGGCGACAGAGTGAGATCCTGTCTCCGGAAAACAAAACAACAAAAAGGAAGAAGAAAGAAAAGAAGAAAACTGGAGGACTGGAGTGCCAGCCATGGCTGATTTGAGAGAGGGTGTTTATATCCCAGTGGTGTAGAAAGCTCTTCTGAAATCCAGAGGCCGGGCACCTGCTCTGTTCCAGGTACCCCAGAGGGTGACAATCCCTCCCCAGCTGGGGATGGCTTGGTGAGCTGCTGTTCAGGAGCGAGTCCTCTGAGCTATCTTCATTTTCTGCTCTTACAACACAGGGCCCTTTCTAAGCCTTGGACCCCTACCTGTCTGTTGCCCACCAGGGATGGACAATCAGCCAGTCCCTTCCCAGCTGGGGATGGCTTGGTGAGCTGCTGTTCAGGAGCGAGGCCTCTGAGCTATCTTCATTTTCTGCTCTTACAACACAGGGCCCTTTCTAAGCCTTGGACCCCTACCTGTCTGTTGCCCACCAGGGGTGGACACTCAGCCAGTCCCTTCCCACCTGCCTGGGACCCACCACATCCTTAGTTCCCGGGACTGTGCCCCTCTTCTCCTAAGCCCCTTTCCCATCCCCATTGCAGCTCTCAGCTGCTCTGGCGAGAGGGGCCCAGGGAGACCTTCTTCCTCAGGAACAATCACCCCTTTCTGTTGTGTAAGTGATACACGAGGAGAGGAAGCTATTTGTAACTAATTGGCTGTGATGAGGAACGGAGGCTTTGGAGAAATGGAGAGCCTGCGATCGCTCGGGGCGGTCCCGCCTCGGGTTGACAGCTGGGTGGTTCTCCTCAGAGGGGGCAGTAGGTCACCACTTCCTCTGCCCCCACTCCACTGGGGAGGCCTGGGGGATGCTGGCAGGTGGTGGCTCCTGCCATTTGCACCTACTCTGTGCAGGCTCCCTGCTTAACACGCTCAATACTTGGAAATTTCTGAACCACCTTCAAGGGAAGTATTATTGTGCCCACATTTCAGCTGAGAAAATGGAGGTCAAGAGAGGTGAAGTCACTCATGCGAGGTCCTGGGTCCCGCAGCCCGCAAGTAACAGAAGCAAGAGAAATGGACAAGGATCAGCTGAGGCTGACCTAGGAGACAGTGTCGGGGAGGGATTAAGATCCTGCTTCTTACTGGCCGTGTGACCTTGGGCAAGTCTTTGCAGCTTCCTAACCCATCTCAGGGGCGGGCTGTGTGGCTTAAATGAGGAAGAGGAAGCCAATCATGCAGCACAGTACGTTGTAAATGCTTAACAACTTCAGTGATCTTGATTGTTTCGGGGAGAAAATACATTTCCTCCAAGCTCCTAGCAGACCACCCTGGTCACCTGTCAGGGAAGCCATCCCAGAACAGGAGAGTCTCTGGGTTATTTCTCAGCCCTCCAAGGGGAGGAGCCAACCTCCAAGACCCCCTTCTCCATAGAGAAGGATCTGGGGATAAGATGAGAGAGAAGAGGGTGCCCATGTCCATGGGGCCTGTTCTGTGTGCCAGGCACATAAGGAGACAGAGGTGATCCCAGTTCCTAGACAACCACAGATAATTATGAATCAGCCTCTGATGAACACAGCCAAGGTACAAAATGCTAAGGGAGCATAAACGGTGGGGAAGATGATGCTAGGCTGCGTGTGTGCGTGTGTATATAAAGGTGGGGAATCAAAATACATATTGGATCTCCCTGGCCTGGGAATCCTGACCATCCCTTCCCTTAGGGAAGGCATCCGAGCCCTGCTAGAAGATTCTGTGAAAAGGGAGAGGAGATGGGCCCCGGGACCAGGGCCTGAGGCTTCTTGGAGAAGGAGGTCTTAATGCCCCAGCGTGTCTTCAAGGTGGCAGTGTGACTAAAGTCTTCTTCAGGGGACTTCCCCACCCCAAATGGGGAAAAAAAAAAAAGCAATGCCTGCTTTCTGGGTGGTAACTGAAGGACTTCCCTGAGCGACTGTGGGAGGGGCTTGGGGTCCCCCATGTCTCAGAGACAGAGGAAGCGGCCCCTCACCCTCTGCACACTGTGTCCAAAGGCTGCAGAGTCGGGAGGCAGCCAGTCTGGCCCCGAAGGCTGTCACTCGGCATCCCGGAGCTGGCACTGGGGTGAAGGTCTGGAGTCTCCGCTTGGCAGGAGATCCAGTGCTCATCCTGATCCGGGGAGCCTGGGGGATGGCAAGGGGCTAATGTGCTTGTTGGGAGTGACGCTGTCTCTGCTAGGGAGCAGGAGGTCAGTGGGGACAGTACGGACTAAACTCATAATTGGAGCAGCATGGATCTGGGTGAGGACACTGGGAGAGCTGGATCTGTTCCATTTTACTGTCATCCCTTGGAGTGTTACAGCTTGGTCAGTTGTCCTCTGTGCTTCAGAGAGAGCGAGGCCAGGGTGGGTGATTCCACAGGACCAGAGCACCTGTGTGGCAGGCTCAGATTTCATCCCTGACAAAGAGCAGAGGCTCCTGGCAGGGGTGGCCTGAGCTAAGGAGGAAGGAGACAAGAAACTGAGTGTTCTATGAGTTCTTCCTGCATTCAACCCTGTACGGTGCCAGCTCTGGCTCAGTGCTGGGGACACCAAGACGGTGATGGCTCTCGAGCAGCTTCCAGTCCAGGAAGAACAGCTTAACATTGGCTTAATACCAAGTCTGTGCAAAAAAGAGCTTCCAGGGGCTCTGACGCAGACTTGTGGTTGCAGGCAGCTGAGCAGGTCTGCACGTTCCAGGTGGCCTGTCCTCTCCAGCACATTCAGGCGTGTGGAAGACAGAGTGTTCGGGAGACTTCTGAGGAGGCCCACAGAGGGAGCAGGAAAGGGGTCAAGAAAGATGTGACCTGGAGAAAGTAATGCTTGTGTAGCATCTTACAGGACGGATTGAAGCTTATGAGGAATAGAAGGGCAGAAAGGGCATTATAGTCAAGGAGTGAAGCTGGACACAGTATGGGTTATTTGAGGAACATCTAGGAATCTGATGGGGCTAGACTGTGTGCAGGGGAGGGGAAGGGCTATGCCTGGAGGTGAGGCTGGCTGGGGTCAGGTTGTGAAGAGATTTGAAGACCAGACTGAGAGTTCACAGTTTATTCCAAGGGCTCTAGGGAGCCATCGCCGGTTCTTGAGCAGGGGAGTGATATAGCCAGATGTGTGTTTTGGAGAAACAACTGAGGACAGGTGAAGGGTTTGTCCCAGAGGCAGGAAAACAAGATCTGTGGTTACTGCAGAGCTGAGTGGCCTGAATCAAGACAGTGACCGTGGGAGGAGAGGGATGGGACCCAGTGTCATCCTGATAAAATAATTTGTTTCTCAGCCTTTTTTGGAGCTGGCTGTGGCCTTGGAACTACGTTTTGGCCAATCCCTGACCCCTTAGAATTTCTTAGGGTCTGGGTGTAAGTGAAAATGTTGGGCTTGACCTTTGGGAAGTATCTTTAAAGGAAGGAGCATGTTTCACTGCTTCCCTATCTGCCAGACATTGCCTGGAATTCAAACCTGATGGTAGGAGCTCTTGCAGTCATCCTGGGCCATGAGAATTATTTGCAAGGAAATTGGTACCCTGAAAACTGTGTGGAACTGCCATACCGGCCCTGACCTGCTTACATCCAGAATTATTATTATGTGTTGGAGAAATAAGCTTCTATCTTGTTTAAACCACTATTATTTTGGAGTTTTCTATTAAAATGTGCTGTTTCCCATTTTTGCCTTCTAAAGGTGAGAAAATTAGTCCCATGGTTCTATATGAGTGTCATAGAGAAAAGATTGCATTCTTCCATGGCTCCTCCTGGGAAGTGAGTCACATCAGTTTCCTGGGAAGAACTGGGCTCTTCCATTCCCTCCCAGTTTGAAGCAGGAACGAGGAGGCCACAGCTAAGGATACAGATGTTGTGGTCCAGCTGAGCTAGACCAGCCTCCCCAGATGCATCCCTCCCTTTCAGCTCTCATCTCCCATGGAGCACAGGAAGGAAACTGTGTTGGGGGCAAGGGGTGCAGAGGGGAGCCGGATTAATTCCACTTATGGTTGGATCTCCAGGGGTGGAGGAGACAGAAAGTCTAGCAGAGCTTTCAGCAGACAGACAGTGGACCTCCAGCTGGCCCCTCGGGCCTTGGACTCTTCTATGAGTCAAAGAACACTTGGCTGCTTCTCCAAAGATCCTCCTCTGCCTCCAGCTTCCTTCATCTGAAAGAGCAAGGTCTCGAGTCTATAGCCCAAGAGATCCTAAGGGACAGGATTGGCCCCTACTTTGGGTGTAATGAGGTGGGGGTGGGAGGGCGTGGGGTGAGAATGGAGGTGGAGTTGGAAACTGACATCTGTGATTTTACTCTCTTACTTTCCAGCTCTAGCTTCAGGTCAGGAAAGCTCTGGGGAGTCCAGTTCTCCCAGATGATGAATTCAATGCTCCAGATGACATCATGCACCTGAATCATTTCCGTATCTTTCTTCCAGGAGCCTGCAGAATTCCCTGGAACCCATATTCACCAAGCACTTACTACATGTCAGGGCTCATGTATACATGTGTGATCTTATTCATTTCTCACAACGGGCTTGAGAGGTTGGCATTGGTCCCACTTTAGTGATGAGAATCATGAGCACAGAGAGGTTGGGTAACTTACCTCAGGTCACCCAGCCAGTAGGTGGCTGAGCTGGAACTTGAACACTAGTTATATGATGCCAGACCATGCTTTTTGCATTAGACATTGCCGGGGTCCCGTGCTGGGGAAGGCCTATGCTGAGGTCACAGGGGGCAGTATATTAGTCCATTTTCACACTGCTATGAAGAAATATCTGAGACTGGGTAATTTATAAAGAAAAAGAGGTTTAATGGACTCAAGAGTTCCACATGACTGGGGAGGCCTCACAATCATGGCAGAAGGGGAAGGAGGAGCAAAGTCACGTCTTGCGTGGCAGCAGACAAGAGAGCGTGTGCAGGGGAACTGCCCTTTATAAAACCATCAGATATCGTGAGACTTACTCACTATCACGAGAACAGCATGGGAAAAACCCACCCCCATGATTCATTTACCTCTCACTGGGTCCCTCCCACAACACGTGGGGCTTATGGGGGCTACAATTCAAGATGAGATTTGGGTGGGGATACAGCCAAACCATATCAGGCAGTTTGCAGGTGATCCCACACCCGGATCAGATTGTAAAGGAGGGGCCCAATTCCCCCTTTCCAGGCCTCCTGCCTCTCATTCCCTCGTAGCACCTCCCTTTTTTCCTCATTTTTACTTCTGGTTGTCTGCACTGGAAAGATTTTCAGTGACAATAGATTTGTGATTCAACCAATAATAGTATTAATAATCTCTTATAGAGACGTATGATTTCAGACTCCTTTCATATACTTTGTGCTGGAAACACCGCTGTGAGGCAGATGAATGAGGTGAGGGAGACTCAGAGAAGCTGAAGAACTTGTCCAGGCCCACACAGCTAGCAAGGTTAGAGGTCAGAACCAGAACTCAGGCTCCTGGTTCCTTATGCTGCATGGAGTCTGACTTCTGATCTCAGTCCTCTTAGCACTTTTTTTTTTGAGACAGAGTCTTGCTCTGTCATCCAGGCTGGAGTGCAGTGGCACGAGCTCAGCTCACTGCAGCCTCAAACTCCTGGGCTCAAGGAATCCTTCTGCCTCAGCCTCTCAAGTAGCTGAGACCACAGGGGTGCACCACCATGCCTGGCTAATTTTTTTATCTGCAGAGCTGAAGTCTTACCATGCTCCCCAGTCTGATCGTAAGCTCCTAGGCTCAAGCAATCTTCCTGATTCAGCTTCCCAAAGTCTTGGGATTACAGAACCACCTTGCTTGGCCACTTAGCACTTTCTGAATGACATCTACCTTGTTCCAGGCCCTGTGCTGGGTACTGGGAGAGATTCTGAGGCTTAAGACACAGTCTCAGCCTTTGAGGAGCTGAAAATTCAGCAGTAAAAGAAAGAAAAGCCAAGGAATCACACGGAGACAGTAAAGCAGCAATTGGCAGGGGTCTCAGAAGAGTCCCTTGGAGGTATCACTTCTCCTAGGGATGTCTGCATCTCCCCAGAGACCAAAATTATCAATAACCATGTGCCACAGTCATGCTGCTTGCCATATCCAAATACCATCTCTATTAGTCTATTCTTGTGCTGCTAATAAAGACATACCCAAGACTAGGTCATTTATTAAGGAAAGAGGTTTAATGGACTCAGAGTTCCACATGGCTGGGAAGGTGTCACGATCATGATGGAAAATGAAGGAAGAGCAAAGGGACATCTTACCTGGCAGCAGGCAAGAGAAAGCTTGTGTAGGGGAACTCCCCTTTATAAAACCGTCAGCTCTCGTGAGATTCACTATCACGAGAACAGCATGGGAAAGATCTGCCGCCATGATTCAATTACTTCCCACTGAGTCCCTCCCACGACATGTGGGAGTTACGGGAGCTACAATTCAAGATGAGAGTTGGGTGGGGGCACAGGTGAACCATATCGCCATCTGTAGTATTACTTATTTACCGTAGTCCCCCTTATTTATCGAGGATATGTTCCAAGACCCCCCGTGGATGCCTGAAATCATGGATAGTACCAAACCCTATATAGTCTGTTTTTTTCCATAACTACATACCTGTGATAAAGTTTAATTTATAAATTAGGCACAGTAAGGGACTAACAACAATAAGTAATAAAATAGAACAGACCAGGTTCAGTGGCTCATGCCTGTAATCTCAGCATTTTGAGAGACTGAGGTGGGAGGATCACTTGAGGCCAGGAGTTTGAGACCAGCCTGGGCAACATAACAAGACCCTGTCTCTATTAAAAAAAAAAAAAAAAAAAAGACCAAGCGAGATGGCTCAAGCCTGTAATCCCAGCACTTTGGGAGGCCAAGATGGGTGGATCATTTGAGGTCAGGCACTCGAGACCAGCCTGGCCAACCCTGGCCGACAGGGTTTTACCTGACCAACAGGTAAAACCCTGTCTCTACTAAAAATACAAAAATTAGCCGAGTATGGTGGCGTGCACCTGTAATTCCAGCTGCTCAGGAGGCTGAGGCAGGAGAATCGCTTAAACCCAGGAGGCAGAGGTTGCAGTGAGCTGAGATAGCACCACTGCACTCCAGCCTGGGTGACAGAGAGAAACTCCGTCTCAAAAAAAAATAGAACAAGGAGAACAATATATTGTAATGAAAGTTATGTGAATGTGGTCCATCTCTCTATTTCTCTTTCAAAATGTCTTACTGTACTGTACTACAGGTAACAGAAACCATGGAAAGTAAAACTGGATAAGGGGGACTACTATATTTGTTTAAGCTAATTGATTCTTTTTTACTTAAAAATATTTTTAAAGGAAACTTTGTATCACTACCTTAAATAGAAAGGTAACTACAAAAATCAATTAAATTATAGCTGGATTTGCTGGCAGAGAATCTAAGCCCAAGGCCCACTTTCTTTTTGTTTAAAAGGAAAATTAGCAAGTGTTAGTGAGGTGTTATAGACACATTACCTCCTAACCAAGGCTTTCTTTTGGCTCATTAAAAGTTTGGAAAGAGAATTGGAAATGGGACAGCTTTCTCACTCCATGATTCAATGTTATTAAAGGCTGTGTTTGGAGTCCAGCTAAATTCATCTTAAACATGCCCCCAAAACATCTCATATGTTCATGCTTGAGATGAACCAGTGACATAGAAAAATAAACATTTTAAGCTCATGGTCTGGGTAGGGGTGACGTCTAGGGGAGCAGAACCTCAGCTGGTAAGCCACTGAGGGCAACATAGAAGGTTCCTGCCATCTTCTCTCTGAAAAAGAACAAGAAGAATAGGGAGATTTTCAGCCTTGGCACATCCTTTTACAATGTGCAGAGAATTTTTTTTTTTTGGCAGTCTTGCTCTATCGCCCAGGCTGGAGTGCAATGGCACAATCTTGGCTCACTGCAACCTCTGCCTCCTAGGTTCAAGCGATTCTCATGCTTCAGCTTCCCGAGTAGTTGGGATTACAGGTGCGTGCCACCATGCCTGGCTAATTTTTTTGAGATGGAGTCTCGCTCTATCGCCCAGGCTGGAGTGCAGTGGTGTGATCTTGCCACACTGCAAACTCTGCTTCCCGGGTTCAAGCGATTCTCTTGCCTCAGCCTCCTGAATATAGCTGGGATTACAGGCGCGCACCACCACGCCTGGCTAATTTTTATATTTTTAGTAGAGACAGCGTTTTACCATGTTGGTCAGGCTGGTTTCTATCTCCCAACCTCATGATCCACCCTCATCTGCCTCCCAAAGTGCTGGGGTTCCAAGACCCCCCATGGATACCTGAAATCATGGATAGTACCAAACGCTATAGTCTGTGAGCCATATAGGCGTGAGCCACTGTGCCTGGCTGATTCTTATTTTTTTATTTTTTAGACAGGGTCTCACTCTACCACCCAGGCTGGAGTGCAGTGATGTGATCTCGGCTCACTGCAGCCTCTGCCTCCCAGGTTCAAGCGATTCTCTTTCCTCAGCCTTCTGAGTAGCTGGGACTACAGATATGTGCCACCATGCCCGGCTAATTTTTGTATTTTAAGTAGAAACAGGGTTTCACTAAGTTGGCCAGACTGGTCTTGAACTCCTGACCTCAAGTGATCTGCCCGCCTCGGCCTCCCTAAGTGTTAGGATTACAGGCATGAGCTACTGCTTCTGGCCACATGCAGAAATTAAAAAAAAAATTGAGGCCAGGTGCGGTGGCTCACGCCTGTAATCCCAGCACTTTGGGAGGCTGAAGCAAGCAGATCACTTGAGGTCAGGAGTTTGAGATCAACCTGGGCAACATAGGGAGGCACCATCTCTACCAAAAATACAAAAAATTAGCTGGGTGTGGTGGTGCGTGCCTGTGGTCCCTGCTACTCAGGAGGCTCAGTGAGAGGATAGCTGGAGCCCAGGAGGTGGAGGTTGCAGTGAGCCGAGATCACACCACTGCCCTACAGCCTGGGTGACAGAGTGAGACCCTGTCTCAAAAAAAACCCAACCAACCAACCAAACAAACAAAAAAGCCATTTGAAGCTCACAGCCCTATGAAGCACACAAAATAGTACTTTCTGTTATGGCTGAGAAAACTCAGCTGGTGAGGTTTTCAGGGACCACCCAAGGTCATCCAGCACGTTATCCCACAAAATACTGAGCAAATGCTTGATGCCCCTCTCTGGAATCACATCATCCTCAAGCAGGAGCATGTAGTATCCACTTTGTAAGAGAAATCTGTCCCCCGTCGAAGCAAAATCTGGACTTTCAGAGGTTGGTCCTAGAGAAAGAACTTCTGCTGGAGCCATCCTGGGAATCTGATCTCTGCCTTCAAAACCAGATTCACCTTCCCTTAGGAGATCTCTCTCTTTCTGACTCCTGCTGCTACCACCTCATTGGTCCCAGTGTTTACTCAAGGGAAGGAAGATCAGAGGGGAAACAAACGCCAAGGGGTTGGGAATGGGTCGGCATCTGGAGTCTGAGACAGCTGCCCTCCTGCGTCAAGGGCTGGGGGCCTCAGCTTCCATCCTGTGCCAGCCTCCATGTGGACAGCTCAGCTTATTGTCCACCACCTGGAAATTCCTCGAAGCTTCATGGTCCAGGTCAAGAGAATCCTGTTCCCAGACCTCTGCCCAGCCAGGCCTTCCCAGCTCAGGGCTGACTCCTGCACCAAGTGACGCACTTTTCATAACTGGTCTACCAATGCCTCCCCTTCAAGTGAGAACTACCCTTTACATTTAGGAGTGTGGCCCCGCAGTAAAAACACACTAAATTTGTCTTAATTCAATAATTAATGTATATTCATTGTAGAAAATACAAATTAGCATAAATAATAAACATTATCCAATCTTATTACTCAGAGAAAACCCTTATTAATATTTTGTTATATCCTTGTGGATATTTTCTGTGCATGCATATATTTTTTTCCTTATAAAAATGGCGTCATGGCAGGTGTGGTAGCTCACACCCGTAATCCCAGCGCTTCAGGAAGTCAAAGTGGGAGGATTGCTTGAGGCCAGGAGTTCAAGACCAGTCTGGGCAACATAGCGAGACCCTCATCTCTACAAAAAAAATTTAAAAATTAGTTAGTCATGGCAGTGCATGCCTCTTGTCCCAGCTACTAGGGAGGCTGAGGTAGGAAGGTCACTTAAGCCCAGGAGTTTGAGGCTGCAGTGAGCTTTGATCTCACTACTGCACTTCAGTCTGGGTGACAGAGTGAGACTCTGTCTCAAATAAATAAATAAATAAACAAATAAAATGACATCTGTTTTGCAGCATGCTTTTCTTCATTTTATCATATTTTGGGAAGGCCTTTTCATATCAATGGTGAAAATTCTACAGCTTTGCTGCTCAAACAGTGGTCCGGGGACCAGCAGCATTGGCATCACCTGGGAGCTTGTTGAAATGCAGAACTTTAGGTCTCATCGCAGAGCTATTGAATCAGAATCTGCATTTTAATGAGATTCCCAGGGAATTATTGTGCACATTGAAGTTTGAGAGCACACTGTTTGACATCATTCTTAACACTTACATATTGTTAAATACTTACCACTTACCCAGGGGATACTTAAAACTGCATGGCTAAATTTTTTTCTTTTCTTTCTTTCTTTCTTTCTTTCTTTCTTTCTTTCTTTCTTTCTTTCTTTCTTTCTTTCTTTCTCTTTCTTTCCTTCTTTCTTTCCTTCCTTCCTTTCTTTCTTTCTTTCCTCCTTCCTTCCTTCCTTCCTTCCTTCCTTCCTTCCTTCCTTCCTTCCTTCCTTCCTTCCTTTCTTTCTTTCTTTCTTTCTTTCTTTCTTTCTTTCTTTCTTTCTTTCTTTCTTTCTTTCTCTTTCCTTTCTTTCTTTTTTTTTGAGACAGAGTCTCCTCCTGTCGCCCAGGCTGGAGTGCAGTGCCACAATCTCGGCTCACTGCAACCTCCACCTCCCAGCTTCAAGTGATTCTCCTGCCTCAGCCTCCCAAGTAGCTGGGATTACAGGCACCTGCCACCACGCCCAGCTAATTTTTGCATTTTCAGTAGAGACAAGGTTTCACCATGTTGGCCAGGCTGGTCTCGAACTCCTGACCTCAAATGATCCACCCACCTTGGCCTCCCAAAGTGCTGGGATTATAGGTGTGAGCCACTGCGCCTGGCTAAATTTTTCTTTTCAAACTCACCTATAATTGGGCTTTAGGATTTACCTAATGTTTTCTCCATTATTAACAATGCTGTGATGGACATCTCTATATGTAGTTGCTGCTCATGTCCTTTAAATTCCTAGAAGTAGAATTTCTGGGTCAAAGCTTTCGATACTTATTGTCAACTTGCTTTACAAAAAGGTCATCCTAGTGTGCAGTCCTTCCTGCAACGTCTAAGAGTGATGAGATCCCTACACCCTGACAGTCCCTGGTACTATCATTCTTTGACATCTTTGCCCATGAGTTCCATGAAAGTCGTGCCTCAGGGTTGGCTTTGGACATATTTCCTTTGTTATTGGCTGGTCCAGTTGAACATTTCTCTGTGCCAGTGTTGGCCATTTGCATTTCTTCTGGCTGTGTGCCTGCTGGGGTCTTTAATGCCTGAAGCCCACCAAGATAGTGGGAGATGTTGCCAGGGAGGGCTGCAGGGAGTGTGGCCTGAGCCCAGCCCTGATGCAGAGTCCTGCACATAGTGGTCGCTCATGTTGCTGCCTGGCTGAGGGCACAGCCAACTTGGGCCAAAACTCAGACCCAGCCTGGCGGCGCTCTTGCGGTCCCAGCCTTGTGCTGTGTCCAGACCCCAGAGCAAGTGCCCAGCCAAGGTCTCACCTCCTGGCCTGTGAGGCCTGGGTGCCGGCTGCCACCCAGGATGGTGCTTGCAGGCCGGGCCAGGCACCCCATGATTCCCCAGGCAGCAGGCGGGTGGCCAGGTGTGCTGGGAGGAGCCAGCGGTGAGGACAATTCAGGGAAGTGACCCTGCCCAGTCCCCGAGCTCCTACCACAGCAAGCATTGTGAGCCTCCCGCTGGCCACGGTGGCTGAAGCTGCTGACAGTGGCGGCAGGAAGTGGGGCGCTTACTCAGCCCAGGCTGCACGTGGCTGGGCCTGCTGCCTCCCTCCACTCAGCCTTCCTCCCAGACACAGCCTGCGCAGCCAGCAGCTGGGGGAAGGAAACAGGAGGGACCACCCCCCACATCCCCTGCAAGGCTGTACCTGTGCCCTGCCAGCTCTGCCACCTGTTACTGACTGGGCATGAGGCCTGCCCCAGGGCCTCTGCGGCAGAGCGAGGAGTGGGGCTGGGGTGTGGGGTGGGCAGGTGGGCTTGGGGTAGGATCTGCACTGACATCTACTGAACGTACCACCCTGAGGGTCTCACTCCACCCAATCCCCACAGCCCCGGGACTACGAGTACTATTCACCTCCCTTTCACTAACAAGGAAATTAAGGCTCAGAAAACAGGAGTAATGATAGCTTAATCTAGAATTACTTCCAGGTGCCAGGAACTCTGCTGCACACTTCATATGTGTTCGGTTATTTAAGCCTCACAAGAAGAGTGGGTGCAATAGGAGCCCCATTTTCCAGATGAAGAAAGCCAGGCATAGAGAGGTGGCAGCACACAGCCTATTAGGGACACACCTTAGTGTCTGGCCCCAAAGCTCACACCCTTAACTGCCTCCCGCACTAGCAGGTGACCTAGAGCCTCAGGCCTGGCTGAGAGTGGCAGTGAGGAAGGGGAGGGGGCCAGCCCGCTGCCCTCATTAGATTGTCTTGGCGCTGGCCACCTGTCCCCCACAGGAGCACCCAGGTTTCACCCCACTTTGTCGCCCAACCCTGGGCCTCTGTCTCCAGTCCTCTCCTGTGTCTCCTGCCCTCTAACCAGGCAGCCTTTGGGGACTGTCTCTCAGGTGCTTGTCTTGCTCCTCCTCTGGCTGTCCCTGTCCTGCTCTTTGACCCCTGACCTTGGGTTTCTCTGGCTCTTCTTTTTAGTAGGCAAAAGGGGGAAAGAAGGAATTTGCATGGAATGCGGCAAACATCCCGTCAGAGGGCATTTCTGGAGGTGCCTCTAATTGTGGCCTCCAGTTGCTATGGGAAGCAGAAAAGTGTCTCCCAGCTGGGAGCGGTGTGGGTAAAGGATAAAGCCGAGGGGAAGGGAGAGAGGAGCCTCTTCAGGAGCTGGAGGCCCGTGGGACTGGGGTCCGGAGGATGAGCGCTGCCTGCTGCCCAGAACAGGGAGGGTGGAGCAGCCCTGGGCCCCACGCGCCTGGCCTTCTTCCACCTCCCACTGTGATGGTGGTGGCCCCAGGCTGCCCCTGGGCCTGTAGCAGCTGTTGCTGCTGATGCAAGCTGTTGGCTGCGGGAGGTGGGAAGGTGATGAGGAAGGAGGGAGTTATTCTCAGGGTGAGGGTCTCTGCGTAAGCCTGTTGACAAGCTTTCAAGTCTGCAGGACAGGACTCCGGGTTTCCAACCAGATTCACTTCTGTCCCAAGTGGGGCCCAAGGCCAGGCCTCCCGAAGCCTTTTGCGATCAGGGTGGAGTCCAACCACCAGCTGTTATGGCAACCTGTATCTCTTCAGGGCTGCAGGGAGAGGCCTGGAGCCCGCAGCCCAAGGGACCAGGGGCTCAGAAGTGAATGGCAATGGGCAAACCCATGGGTATGCCAGGAGGAACCCTACTGGGTAAGCCCCAGAGAGGGGCCCGTCTCTGGCCCAGCCGCTTCCTTCCAGTCCTTGCCTCTTCCCGGCAGTGTCTCCTGGGTCTGGCCTAACTAAGCTGGGCTTCGGCCAAGCTGGCCGGCCTCCAGGTGGATTTGGGACAGACAGCTGGGATGTGGTGTTTCCCGCTCTGAAGAGATAGAGGCTGGAGGGGGCCGTGATGGGGCTGGAGCCTGGAGTGCTGGGCCCTTGGCCACTTGACCACAGCAGGATGGTGGGGGTAGGGTGGGTGGGCTGGCGGGAATGTCTTTGGTGGAGGTTTCCCAGGGAGGGGAGGTGTCAGAGGAGTACGGCCAGGTAGCTTCCCATACCTCCACATGTTCTCTATCTGGGTGGGGAAACAAATGGCTGTTACCCCTGAGACCTAAGTGGGTCTCTCTGGTGGGTCAGCCAGCTGGCCTTGGCACCTGTCTTGTGTCCTCCCTAATGGCTCGCACTCACTCAGCTGCTCTCCTCCCTGGGTCAGGTCAGCCTGGCCCAGGGTAGCATCAGGCAATTTTTACTTGCTTCTTTTTACATGTCCTGGGGGACCGTCATAGCTGCCTGGACTCCTTGATTCTGGCACAGACACTGTGTTCAGCTCCTCAGGACAACCTGTGCTTGGCTCTACGGGGCACACATGAATGAAGAGCACAGCCCTCCTTCCCACCACACATACACACAGCTGCCAGGTTCCATTGCCAGCTTTGGTCATCCTTCCTGTCCTTCCTTGTCTGGATGACTCCAATCCATCCTTTGAGGCCCATGTCAAATGGGGAGCTGTTTCTGCCCTTCCCACCTGCTCCAGGCAGAATCATCCATCTCCCCTCTGTGCCCCCTTAGACAAAGCATGTAGGAGGCATTGAGTGAATGAAGCTTCCCAAAGGGCCATTAGGATCCTTCCAGTCTCCTGCTTAGAAAAGTTCCCTGGCCCCCATTGCAAAAAGCCCTTTTGCACTCTTTGGCTTCATCATCCCCTAGGCTGAGCCGGAGAACCCTCTGCTCCAATAAAGTGGTCTCCTAGCCTTCCACCAAACTTGGCCTGAACCTTCCCCACTCCATCCCCTGCTCAGGCCACCCCTTGTCCTGGAATGCACTACCACCATGCTCACCTCTTGAAACTCCACTCTGCAAGGCCTGGTGTCTCTTGGTGTCCTGGGAGGCCAGTGGCTCCCAAAGGGCATGGGAGAGACCCCCTCTTAGGGGCCTGGTGTTTTTCTTCCTTTCCTTCCCCTTGCTCCTCCTCTCTATGGACTTTTGAACAACTTCCAGGATACATTCCATAAATTTGAAGGAAGCAGTAACTAACAGCCTCCCATTAATGTTCCCGTGTGCGCACACATGGAGTGTGCCATTGTGTGTGGATGAACATATGTTCATATGAAGATATGAGCAAGCATGTACATGGAGATAGGACCTATGTGCAAAAATGAGCATGCCTGTGCGTGTGTGAAAGTGGGCGCGTGCATGTGCATATGAACATTTTTGTGCAGGTGAGCCTGTGCAGACATGCCAAAATGTGTGCATGCATCGATGTGCATTGCAGGTGTGTGCTTGTACATGCTGGTGAATCTCTATGTGCATGTGGGGTATATGTGCTCTAGTGAGCTTCCTTTTGCCCAGCCCAGGGGTACTGGGGAAGGCCAAAGCCAGTCTGCCTTCTACACCTCGCCACCCTCAACCTCCAGGGAAGTGAGGAAGGCTTCACGTTGCATCCTGACTTTTGACAGAGATAAATGAAATTCCTGTGAGGTTGCCAGGCTGCAGCAAAGAGCAGCTGTGAGTGGCAGGGGTCCAGCCCCAGACTGGCCTGGCCCTTGGCCTCCAGCCCTCAGCACACCGTGTCCCCCATCGAAGTGGTACCCAGGATGAGGAGGACTCAGGACAGGTTCAGCAAAGGGTAATGGCTCTGCCCTGGTCCCCAGGCAACAGGCTCTGTCTCTGGGCCTGCAAGTTTGCGCCTGGTGGTGGGGATGATGGTGGGGCCAGAGTGCCTAGGAGCTGCTAGATCAAATGGTGCTCTTTCCTCTGGGGAGTGAACTCTGGAGGAACAAAGCAATAGGTTAATGGTGCAGGAGGATCCATTTATGTGAACCCACTTTAGATAGAACAAGGAAATACAGGTTTAAAGTGCAGCAAGGAAGGTTTAGCTAGACTTAAGGAAGGAGTCCTTCAGTGGCAAAGGCTGCAAAATCTGTGTCCACAAAGATCTGGACAACAGGATCCATATCCACCCATGGGGCTGGTGGAGGTGGTCGGAGGCAGGAGACTGGCTGGGATGACCTTTAGAAGTGCTCCCTCCCCACACAGTCCTGGCTCTGTCTCGGGGTCTCTGCAGCTCTGTGGGGACCCAGAGGGGAGTCTGGCAGGGAGGATTGGCCGGGCACACTTCTGGGCACTGCTCCCAAGCTCCTTCCCTTCTCTGCTTCCTCCAGAACCTTCTTATCCTTCATTTCCTGCTGCCCTCCTCTCACCTCCAAGTGGCTGCCCCAGCCGTGCCCCCAAAGTGGCTTCCTCACTCCCTCCCTGCTGCTCCAGAATTGGGAAAGAAGCCACAAATTCCCCCAGCGGACCACCCCCAAAGGCCCAGCCCCGTCTCACCCACGAGAGGTGCTTAGAGGCCCAAATTGGGTGCGGCTGCGGGGAGGTGGGAGCCAGGGGCCTCGGTAGGCATCATCCCTCCACCAGGGTGGTCTCGAGGAGACAAGGCCAACTGAACAGAGAGAGTGCGCCCTGCAGGCAGGGTCACAGGAGCCCTGAGGCCTCCCTCTGTCTGGGGCCTCCCTCTCTGGGGGGCTTCAGGGCCTGTGCTTACCCTCTCTGGTGGCTTCCTCTTGCTCTCTAGGGAGTGGCCTGTGGGGAGGACATGCAGACACGCAGAGGTGCTTGGGGAGGATGTGGAGGGATAGAGGGTGCCCCCTGCACCCCTTGCTCCCCTCCTCCTCCTCCTCTTCCTCCTCCTTCTCCTCCAGGAGCCCCTGTGCCTTCCCTGGGAGGTCTGACCCAGGCAAGCCCAGGGACGAGGGGAGGCAGTCATTAATCACCATTATTTATTATTTCTTATGTAACAGGGTGTTATGAAACATGCAACCCTGTACCAGGCACGACTGGGAATATGGGAAAGACAGTCCCTACCAGTAAGAGCTTCCTATGGGATGACCAGGTAGGTCCAGGAGCCACTGAGCAACCTGTGGACCAGCCTGGAACGTGGGGTGCAGGCCAGGCTGGAGGCGGGATGGTCCTGCTGCAGCTGAAAAAAAGGAAAAAGGAGGGGAGTGGGCAGCGGGAACCTCAAGGTGGGAAGGGAGCTGGGTTTCCACCCCCACCCCTCCGCACCTCGCCAGGCCAGGCGCAGACCAGCTCTGGCTCTGGGGTGGCCTGGGTCACAGCTGGAGTTGTCACAATATTGACCCAGGAGGAGATAACATCCAAAGGGCTTGGAGTCCCAGTCGGACAAGGAGGGGGATGTCGCCGGAAAAGATCCCTGGCCCCCAGGGGGATCAAACTAAATGGGGCTTTAATAGGTCTCTTCCAGCTCAGATTTCATGGATAATTGGAAGCAGGTCTCCAGCCAGGCAGAGTGGGCAGCCCTAGTGGCCTGCCGGGCGGCCACCGCAGCCAGGAGACAAGGAGGGACAAGGCGGGGTGGGGGTGCCACCTCCATGCCACCCCACTGTGGCCCAGTGGGCCTCTGGCCTTGCTGGGGCTTCTGGGCTCCCTTCTCTCTGTTCCAGAAGTGCTGCTGCTTTAACCCCCTCAGGGAAGGAGGTGGACAAGTGAGGAGACCTGAGTCATTTAGCTCCGGGGAAGGAGAGCAGCCTGTCCCAGCCACACATGCCCGAGGCTTCTTCCGTCATTCAAATACACATTCACATTTAAAGCTGGGAACAACTCTGAAAAATAATGTCTTCATTTTTTTTCTTATCACAAAAGGGGTACATACTTGCTGAAACAAAATTCAAGGTATATTAAGTAAAAAGTGAAAATTCTCTCCCCACCACACACCCATTACTCCTCTGTCCCTCTCTCACCACCCCCAGACTCTGCAGGTAGCCTCTGACTGCAATTTATTGGCTATCTTTCCAGAGCATCTCCAATGCCTTCTGAATTACATCCTGCTGCTTTCGCTCAGCAATGCATCATTGATATCCTTCCAAGGCCAGTAATTAGGGTGTGGACATTCGTCACTCCCATTTTAAAGATGAGGAAACAGAGGCTCAGAGAAGTTTCTTGGCTGTCCCGGGCTGCACAGCCAGGCCTCGTGCTCATCCTACCACAGCTTTCAGCCTCTTCCCTGGGGGCAGGAGGATGTGAGGAGCAGAGGGCTAGAAAAGCCCTGGGGGGGTGGTGGGTTGGGATGGGGGAGAGGGGCCGAAGAATAAGAAGGAAGCAGCAGCAGGCGAGGGAGGGTGTGAGGTCTCCTTGGAATGCGGCGGCGGTGCCCCTCCTCCCTGAAGGATCCAGGTTTTCCTCAGGCAGCGGAGCCTGGGGCCCTGGAGGCCTAGGCTGGGCAGAGCTGAGCAGCTGGCAGTGGAGGGGTTTTCAAGGCAAACCTGGCAAGAAGGCAAGACGGATTGCATTTCAGCCTGAACGTGCCTGGGATATGCACATGTCTCCCCAGGCCTTAGGGGCATTTCTTGCCTAACACCACCAGTGGGAGCTGGCTCTGCCCCTGCCTACTGAGGCTGACAGCTGGGCCTGTGTGCTCCCTCCACGGCTGCTGCCGTCTCTAGCGCCCTGGCCTCCAGCACATCCAGCAGTGGAGGGGATGCCCCTTATTCCAGCCATAGCCTAGAGCAGCCAAGAGCCAGCTCTTACTCACAGAGAGCCTGGGGCACTCCCTCAGGGAAGAGCCTGAGGGGACAAGCAGGTGGGAGGCCGATGTGGCCTGGGCCTCGGCCTGAAGAGTAAACAAGGAAGGCTCTGGAAAGCTCGTGACCCACAGGCCTTCACGCCAGACACACAGCCTTCCTCCTTCCTGCCTAGGACCTCCGAGAGGGACCCCGGGAAGCCAAGAGGACACGGAGGATGCGTGGGGAAGAAAATAGCCAGTGTCCCTCCTGGGCGGACGTAAGCACACATCCCCAGGTGCATGCATGCGCACACATGCTCATGCACACAGGCACGAATGCAGGGGGGAGAACTCAGAAGTGTGGAACAGCTGCCCAGCAGAGAGGGCTGGAGGGATGCTCTTGGGAGAGGCAGGGCCAGGGACCTAGTGGTCTTTGGAGAGCTCTTCACTCCTGAGATTGTAAAAAAATGCTCCCACAGGTACCACCCAGACCTTGGAGGGGGTCACAGAGATTCTCCCACAAGGCACTTAGGCCAATCAGGGAAGAGGACATCCATCCATTCCGTTTGCCAATATCCTTAGTAAACTTACTCTGTGCCAGGCTCCATGCTGGGAGTACAGAGGCCACCCGCAAGGCTTGACTAGCGCCAAGCACCAGTGGGAATGTGGGAAAGAAGGTCCCTACTGGAAAAGCTCATCCTCCACATGGAGCTGGCTGGGCAGTTGCGGAGGGACTGCAGAGCAGGCTTTGGCCAAGCTTAGTCCTGGATGAAGACCCTGCACCCCCACCCCAGCTAGTGGCCAGCTTAAAAGGAGCCTGGAAAGGCTGATGTCTGCTCTCTGCCCACAGCCCACCCCCATCCCCACAGTCCTGGCCCTGGCTGGGGCCCCAGGAAGGAAATCACTAAGGAGGATTGAGTGTCAATTCACAACCTAATCCCATCAGCGCACACAGCTACAGCACGGGCCGCCCCCTCCCCTACTCTGCAGACCCTGGCGGCTGCCGGCTGTCAGGCCCGGCCCCTGCCTGGCTGCGAGGCCAATTACTGCGGCCTTAATCACCACGGTGGCGGCGGCGGCGCGGCGTTAACAACTGTCTGCTCATCAGTCTCCTTCCTGGGGCGTCGTGGAGGGGATGACCCCATGCGGCTCTCCTCGAAGGAGCTTGAAACTGGATCCCAACAACAGCCCGATGGCCGCCGTCCAGGGAAACGCCTGGCTCCCTCCTGCTGCCTGCTGGTCTCCTGTGTGTTTGCCCAGCTCCTCCTGTCCTGGGGCTGAGAGCCCATGAGGACATGCCCGGGGACCCCGCATCCGCTGAGCGAGCACTAAAGCCATGGTTCCCTCTGGTTAGCACTGCCAACAACTGAGCCCGGGAAGACCGACGCTCCCTGCCAGCCAGAGCAAATTGGGTGCCCGGATGTTGAGGTCTGGTTGGCATTTCCTGTGTTGGCTTTGGCTGGTGAGGCCAGGCCAGTGGGCTGCCCTCTTGACCTGAGCGGAGTCAGGCAGGCACGTCCCAGACTCTTGAGCCCACTGAGTTCTTTCCTGCGCCCCACAGGGAGTCTTGTTCTGGAAAAAAGATCTCCCTCCCCGCCTGGGTTCATGCTGAGCAGCCTTCCCTGCCTTGTAGGGTGCTCTGACAGCCTGAGGCCTGGCCGGCCCCCAACCTGGCTGCCTCTGCGCCTGCTCCTTGGGCTCAGGCGGATCTTGGTGCTTCCTGGATGTGGTGAGGCCCCTCTGCACGTGGCCCTCCAGGCTGTGGTCCGGGAGAGGACTCTGAGCTCCTCTGATCTGCTCCCATCTGTATGTGGAATAATTTCTCCGGCCCAAAGCCTGGACCCCTAGGAGCCGTCAGCACCGGGTTCCAGCTTGGGAGCCTGCGGGAGCTCCCATTCCCCACCCTTGAAGGGCCAGCTTCACCTGAAGGCTTCAACGGTGCTGGCTCCAGTTCCTCAGCCCTTTTTTTTTTTTTTTTTTTTGGCATTGGGTCTCTGGGACATCAGATTGTCCAAAACAAGACGACTTCATGATACTTGTTTTTCCAAAGAACACAGTCTGTACACAATCAGGCTTTCTGTGTGCAGCGTGGATCCCGCTGCCCCTGCCCTAGTCGCCCCATTCCTGCCCTAGCCAGATCCCTCTGGGACATGGAGTGTTCCTCATTCCCTGTGGCCAGAGGTCTCTGGCCTAGGGCTGAGCAAGGCTGGGCAGAGAGGGCAGAGCTGATCCCACCCCACAGACCATCACTGGCCCACAGTGCTTCCTTTTCTTCTCCCAGACTTGGGATGCCAGGAGAGCCCCTGGGAGAAGCAGCAGGACGTGGGAACCATCTAGAGCACAAGCTCTGGAGTTAGACCTGATTATGAATCCCAGCTCTACTGCACACCAGCTGTGTGCCTTAAACACAGTACCAAATGGAACCCGGTCCCTTGGTCAGCAAAACGGAGATAATAAAGGTACTTGTAGCACAGGGTTTGTGTGAGGGGTCAGTGGGCCCGGCCCATAGTAAACCCTCAACAGCTGTCATTTACATAGCTACTCCTCTGCATGGGGCTGGCTGGGCAGCCACTAAGGGGTCTGCAGAGTGGACCTAGGCCAGCCTTAAGCCACACCTGGGATAGAGATGCTGTACCCCCACCCCACTAGTTGCTTCCTTGCCCAGGCTGGCTCTCTCCCGAGCCACTCGGCTCCATGGCCATCAAGGATTTAAGACAGGGAGCTGCAGGAGTCCCTGAACCCTTGTTTGTAGAGCTCTCCACCTTTCTCCAGGGAGAGATGAGGCACAGCCCAGCACCCCAGGTCCTCAGGGCCAGGCCCATGGATGCTCAGAAATTTGCTGAATGTGTGGTGAGCAAAGGAAAAGCCTCTGGATTTCCTACCCTGCTCATGGAGGAGCAGTGGGCATGATTTTTCTGGAAAGTTTGGGGGGATATTTATCAAGAGACTGGGGAGTGTTTATCACTTTGAAGAGCAATTCTACTCCTGGGGTTCTCCCTTGGGAAATCACCTGAGACGTCAGAAGTCAGGCAGGGCCACAGGAGGGCCCTCCAAAAAATTTCTACCAAGATGTTTTTCTCGGGGCCATTTATAATAGTGAACAAACAAACCAAGCAGACAAAGAAAGTATCTCAGTATTTAAGAGTAGGATACTGGTGAAATACGTGCCATTCCATCTACGAGGAATGAAAAGGCAGCCCTAAAAATCATGTTTAGGGCCAGGCATGGTGGCTCACACCTGTAGTCACAGAACTTTGGGAGGCTAAAGAGGGTAGATCACTTAAGTCCAGGAGTTTGAGAACAGCCTGGGCAATGTGGCAAAACCCTGTCTCTACAAAAAATACAAAAAATTAGCTGGGTGTGGTGGCATATACCTGTAGTCTCGGCTACCTGGGAGGCTGAGGTGGGAGGATCACCTGAGCTTGGGAGGTCAAGGTTGCCGTAAGCTGTGATTATGCCACAATCATCCCAGCCTGGGTGACAGAGTGATACCCTGTCTTAAAAAAAAAAAAAGAATCATGTTGAGAAAAAAAATTTAATGACATGGCAACAGCTGAGTTAAAAAAAAAATCAGAGTATTTAACATCTGACAAAGTATAATCTTGAAAAACAGGTTATGAATGGATAAACAAAATGTGACACACAACAGAATATTACTCAGCATTTAAAAGGAAGGAAATTCTGACACATGCTGCAACATAGATGCACCTTGAAGCTAATATGCTCAGTGAAAGAAGCCGGACAGGAAAGGACAAATACTGTATGATCCACTTAGGCAAGGTACCTAGAGTTGCCAAATTTGGAGAGACAGAAAGTAGAAAAGTGGTTGCCAGGGGCTGGGGGGAGGTGGGAATGGGGAGTTAGTATTTCATGGGTACAGAGTTTGGGAAGATGAAAAGTCCTGGAGCTGGCTGGTGATGATGGTTGTAAAACAGTGTGAATGTACGAATGCCACTGTACACAAAATAATGGTTAAAATGGTAAATTTTAGGGCCGGGTGCGGTGGCTCATGCCTGTAATCCTAGCACTTTGGGAGGCCGAGGTGGGCAGATCACAAGGTCAGGAGTTCGAAACCAGCCTGGCCAATATGGTGACACCCCATCTCTACTAAAAATACAAAAAAATTGGTCCGGGTGTGGTGGCACACGCCTGTAATCCCAGCTACTCGGGAGGCTGAGGCAAGAGAACTGCTTGAACCCGGGAGGCAGAGGTTGCGGTGAGCTGAGATCGTACCTCTGCCCTCCAGCCTGGGCAACTGAGCGAGATTCCATCTCAAAAAAAAAAAAAAATAAATAAATAAAATTTTTAAAAAGGTAAATTTTATGTTATGTCTATTTTACCACAACTTTAAAAATAGCTTATGGGGAAATATGTCAAGATGTTCATAATGAATATTTTTGAATGAAGGGACTAGGGGTGATCTTGATTTCATTCTTTTTAGTTTCCAGCATTTTCCCCTTAGTAAATGAGATGTTTGGTTGTGTTTGTTCTTGGTTTTAAAGAAGCTTTCTCCAGCATCTCCCAGATGTGTGCGGGGGCTGGGCGAGCGGGGAGAGGCTGGGTCCAGCTGCAGTTAGAAACGAGGGAGGCCACAGTCATCTGGGGAGGGGTGGCTCAGAGAGGGCGTGGGGCTCCTAGGCTCCCCTAAACTCTCTCAGCCCTACTGGCTGGCCTCCTTCTCTGCCTGCCCTCTATGCTTGGGCCTCGCCCATGGGCCTCTCTCCCCAGGAACAGCTCTGTCACTAGCCTGAAGGGGCTGCCCTGGGCCTAGTGGGAATGTGGGCTCGGGGCTTTCTCAGACGGTCAGTGCCCTAGACGCCTTCCCGCTGCTGCTCCGCCCCATCCCAGCTGCAAAAACAACAGCCCATACCCAAAGCCCTGTTATTGCAGCCGAGAGTGGAGCCTCAGTGGACAGCGGAAGGAGTGGGGATGGGGCCGGCCAGCCCTAAATGGACCTGGGGCAGGGGCTCCTTGGGGAGGGGTAGAGTCCCCTCCTGCTCCTCCTGGGGAAGCCTGGCTCTGAGGTGTGTGGGGGAAGGCGCTTGCAGGGGCCTGTGGGACTTGGGGACTGAGGGTCAACTCTGCCAGTGGCCTCCCTGTCTCCCTGGGGACTGTGGGAGGTGGGAGCAAGAGGGGGGAGGAAGTAAAGCCACTTGGGAACCCGCTGAGCCAAGCCGTGGGCAGGAGGCGGCACCAGCGTGGCTCCCGGGGGGGCCAGGGCCAAGGCTTTCCCACGGAGTGTGACTGGCCACTGGGCTCTGCAGAGCTGTCCACCCCAGGCTGGGGCCTATGAGCCTTGGGAAGTTTCTGTGCTCTCTTCCCTTAGGGGATAGGGACTGGCGGCCCCGCATTCAGAACCCAGCAGGACTCTTCCTCTCCACTCCCCGGTGCCCTCAGGTGTGTGCCAGGCATCTTATCGAGGCTGGGGCTCGGCTCTCAGAAGCCTGACGCCCAGCTTCCTTGGCACCCATTCCACTTTCATCTGTCAGCTTCATACTCAGGGGGCAAGGAGAGGGACGCAGAGCTTCTATCACCAAGGTCCTGAAGGCTTTAGAGGCTGGTGGGAGCCTGGCCCCTGTCTGACCCCTCAAGGCCATTCCTCCCATTCTAACAAGAAGGATGTGGCCGTGGTGGAATTAGGAGGCACTGTGGCAGTCTCTGGAGACAGACACCCTGGGTTAGAACCTACACTTGGTCCCCACCAGTGGCAAGCCACTCAACTTGAGCCTCAGCTTCTTCTGCTGTAAAATGAAGATGTTAACATGCCTATGTTACCGTACAGAGCCCTGGGAGACTTCGAGGTGATTATAAAAAGTCTCTGGCACAATGCAGGTGCTTCATCAGTGCAGGCCACTGTGATTCTTCTTCCTCAAGCCCCAAGAAGGGAAATTAGCTGAGACTGGAAAGAATTTTCTGACTTCAGTTATCCCCACCTCCACATTCTGTGCAATGGAGAGAGCAGCTTGAGAAGTTTTGCCTTCTTGCCCGAAAACCCTGCTCAGAAACCAGTTA
This sequence comes from Homo sapiens, assembly GCF_000001405.40. Taxonomy (NCBI): domain Eukaryota; kingdom Metazoa; phylum Chordata; class Mammalia; order Primates; family Hominidae; genus Homo; species Homo sapiens. The sequence continues at coordinate 74,985,875 of NC_000014.9, forward strand.
ATCAAACTACCCTCTGAAGTTAGACAATGACTGTCTGTTAGAATATTCCTGGCCACGGCCATCAAACCAGGGACAGAAACTATTCCTGGGACAGAGGGGAGTCAGATGCGAGTGAGGGAGTGTTGGGCCTCTGGGGTCTGCTGCCTGCAGGTTGGTCACCGAGGGCCATGTCTGCTCCAAGAGTGGCAGGAATCTGCTGGGACCCAGGACACAGGCATCTGGACGGGGCTGCACCACCATGCAAGGAGTCCTTGAAAGAGACATTCTCAGGTAGTTAAAATAACTGGGGAGTCCTTGAAAGAGAGGAGTTATCAAAATAAAAGTCGATATTATTTTTCTCTGAATTGTCCAGTCTGAAATTACAACCAGGTCTACCAGAATCACCTTTTATGGAGAGTTCTAAAAATTCTCTTATGTAATGGGTATCCAGACCTGCTACTTTAAAGATCGGTAGTAGGTCGGGTGCTGTGGCTCAGACTGTAATACCAGCACTTTGGGAGGCCAAGGCCAGTGGATCACCTGAGGTCGGGAGTTCAAGACCAGCCTGCCCAACATGGTGAAACCCCATCTCTACTAAAAATACAAAAATTAGCCAGGTGTGGTGGCCCACGCCTGTAATCCCAGCTACCCAGGAGGCTGAGGCACGAGAATCACTTGAACCCAGGAGGCAGAAGTTGCAGGGAGATGAGATCGTGTCACTGCACTCCAGCCTAAGTGACAGAATGAGATTCTGTTTCAAAAAAAAAAAAAAAAAAGGCCAGTAGTAGTACATGTCTCTAAATGTTTGAGATCCTTACCATTTATCAGAGTTCCCTGTTACTAACATCTCCACTGACAGACAAGGTCACCCAGCTTGTGAGGGGCAAACTCCAGGAGATGTGTGTGACTTTCAAACCCCAGCTTTTAAATGATTTAACGTTCAGTGACTAAGAGAATAACTGGCTACTGGGCCTTGATCGCCACTTGTTTTTTCTTTCAGAATCTCAGACTATATTGTTTTGTGTACCTAAATGATTGGACATTCTCACTTAGCAGAAGGGACCTATCAATTGCAGAATAACTATCTGTTGACCAGAACCAACCCATCTCATAGGGCTGTTGTAGACACCAAAAGAGATAAGGAAAATGAAAGTCTCTAACCAAAAAGCAAAAATCCTCTAAAGTATAAGGGATGATCTGTTTATTAGTATTGAGTTTCTCCTTGTACAGGGCCTGTTTCCAGTATGCAATGTTGGTGCTTGGTATAAAGGTGCATAATAAATATTTGTTACATGTTAAATATGTTGATCTATGAAGAGCAACAATTAATACACAATCCTACTAACAATAGGGTAAGATTGTTTTTTTTTTTCTAATCACGTACCCTGGGTTCCACTACCTGTGTCTGTCATTAGACTTTCCCTTCAAATTCCTAGCAATTGGCCTGGCGCAGTGGCTCACGCCTGTAATGTTAGCACTTTGGGAGGCCGAGGCGGGTGAATCACCTGAAGTCAGGAGTTTGAGAACAGCCTGGCCAACATGTTGAAACCCCATCTCTACCAAAAATACAAAAATTAGCCGGGCGTGGTGGCGCGTGCCTGTAAATCCCAGATAGTCAAGAGGCTGAGCCAGGAGAATCACTGGAACCCAGGAGGCAGAGGTTGCAGTGAGCTGAGATTGCACCACTTCACTCCAGCCTGGGTGACGAGATCGAGACTCCTTCTCAAAAAAAACACACACACAAAAAAAACGATTCCTAGCAATTGATCATGATAAAGTGTCAGGGAAGCTCAAGAACAGAGCCAGATGCCACAAAATATAAATCTGTATTTAGAGCAAGATTAATTTCTTGTTTAGCAGAAGCAACCAAATAACACACTCCTCCCTTGACTGAAAATAGGCTTGGGCTCCTGGGAGGACACAAGAAGCTTAGGCAAGGCTCTAGCAACCCAAAAAGTTAAGCCAAAGGGGAATTTGTTGAGAAGTCCAAGGGTGGCTGTACCTTCAGCCATGGCTAGATCTAAGGGCCCATGTCAGCTCATCTCAAATCATCAGCTCATCTCAAATCATCAGCTCATTTGTTCTTTCTCCCTCTGTCTAGGACTGGGCTCTACTTGCTTCTCCTGGAGCAGCTGGCTGACTTTCTCCTACACTAGACAAGCTCTCCCCATGAGGCAGGAAAGGTAGCCACCGCTAGTCCAAAGCCAACCTCTTTACAGCAGATGAGGACAGAAACCTGCTTTCTTCCAGGGTCCATATAGCAAATCACAGGACTGAATGGCTTTGCATGACCAATCAGCGTGGAAGTTGGATGATGGACCAGTCCCAGGTGTGGGGGGCCAGGCCTGTGGTTAGGGGCCACTTGGGGCACGAGGAGGTGCTGGGATTGACAGTTCCACCCAAATCACATGAGATGAGGAAGGGCAGTTCCCAACGGAAAGCGGGTGCAGGGCAGACAAAAACAACAGGTGTCTACTACAATAGCACTTGTTCTCAGGTTGCATAGAGACATGACTTATCCACCAAAACAATCAGAGAAGGATAAAAACAGTAGTGCATTCACATGCCCAAGTGTTGAGTCAAAGGCCTTCAGGAAAAGGAAGTGATCCTATGGCCTAAAGGAGATTCTTTGGAACAGAAGGATAAAGACACAAACATTTTAGTAAGCCTTGCTGCCCCCAGTTCAGAATTATCATCATAATCACCGTATTCTCCAAATTAAGTCCAGGAAACTGTTATTTGATAATTATGCAGACAATCAGCCATAATGTTTGGAATTGGGACATTTCTGGAAAATCTGGAAGATTTGATCAACATAATCATATTTCTGGCTGAAAGAATGGGCCTGATGGATTTCTTATGTTTCTTACAAATAACTTTTACTTCTCATTATGAACGGCATATGTTAACTGTAGAAATTTTGGAAAATACAGAACAGTACACAAATAAAAATAAAAATCATTCTTGCATTTTATTAGAGTTGGGTGTGACTGCAAGTGATGGAAACTCCTAGATAACTGTGGAAGTTAAACAAGACTGAAGTTTATTTAGCTCTCAGCTGTATGAAGCCCAGAGGTGAATATTCCAGGCTGGTATGGGAGCTCCACTCCGCAGAGACCTCAGAGTGTGCAGGCTCCTTCTGGCTCACTCCTCTGCCATCCCTACAGTAGGACCTGTATCCTCATCACCTAAGCTGGCAGAGCAGAAATGCAGCAAGAAAGAGAAAGTCATGAAGAGGCCAAAGACCCATCCCAGCTATCTCCTAGGGAAGGTTCTCAAAAGCAGCAACAAAATGTTAATACTTCCACACCTTCCCATTGGTAAGAACATAGGCACATGGCCACATCTACCTGTGAAGGAGACTGGGAAATGTAGTTTCTATTCTGGGTGGCTATTTTCCCAGCTAAAACTCTATTACTATAGGAGGGGAGAGTGGCTTTGGGAGCAATTGTCTCTGATAAACCTGTAATCGTACTATCCAGAGATAGTCACTGTTAATGTCATAGTATATGTCATTATACACACTTCACACACACACACCTATATACATATATATGTATGTGTAAGAATATGTGTATTGTGTATATTTATATATATATAATACATACAAATAAAGTATATTTTTAGAGTGAAATTGAGGTCCCACCAAATATACTATTTTTACATCCTGCTTTAAAAAAATTATAGACTTTAGGCCGGGCACGGTGGCTCATGCCTGTAATCCCAGCACTTTGGGAGGCCGAGGCGGGTGGATCACGAGGTCAGGAGTTCAAGACCAGCCTGGCCAAGATGGTGAAACCCCGTCTCTACTAAAAATTCAAAAATTAGCCAGCCGTGGTGGCAAGCACCTGTAATCCCAGCTACTCAGGAAGCTGAGGCAGAGAATTGCTTAAACCCAGGAGGCGGACGTTGCAGTGAGCCGAGATTGCACCACTGCACTCCAGCCTGAGTGACAGAGCAAGACTCTGTCTTAAAAAAAATACATATAGAGAGAGACTTTAAACAGCCTCTTTCAAGATCTATTTTAGCATTGTGTCATTTAACAATTACAGCTAGAGTTACTTTAAAAATTCACTGGGCACAGTGGCTCACGCTTGTAATCCCCGTGCTTTGGGAGGCCAAGATGGGAGGATCTCTTGAAGCCAGGAGATCAAGACCAGCCTGGGGAACATAGCAAGATCCTGTCTGCACAAAAAAAAAAAAAAAAAAAAAAAAAAAAAAAAATTAGCCAGATGTGGTGGCCCACACCTGTAGCTGTAGTCCTCACTACTTGGGAGGCTGAAGGGGGAGGATCAGTTTGAGGCTACAGTAAGCTATGATTGGACCCCTGCACCCCAGCCTGGGCGACACAGTAACCCTGTCTCTTAAAAAAAAATGACCATCCCCCAAATGTAATGCTTTATAATTTTATAATTTTCTTTTAAATAGATGTTTTTATTTCATAAATCCTGGTTTTGTTTGTTTAACTATTTATTTTGAAATAATTGTAGATTCACAGGAGGTTGCAAATAAATGTATATCCTTCTCTCTCTTGCATCCTTCCCCCCAGACTACTCCAATGCTAACATTTTATACAACCATGACACAATGTCAAAACCAAGAAAATGACATTGGTACAATCCACAGAGCTTATTCAGATTTCATACATGCATTCCGTGTGTGTGTGTGTGTGTGTGTGTGTATATGCACAATTTTATCACAGGTAGTCTTGCATAACCACCACCACAATCAAGAAACCCAAGTGTACTATTAATATCACAAGATTCCTAGTGTTACTCCTTTGTAGCCACACATCCCACCCATCTGTAACTCCTGGAAGCCACTAATCTATTCTTTATTTCTATAATTATGTTATTTCATGATTGTTACATAAGTAAAGTTATGCAGTATGTACACTTTTTTTTTTTTTTGAGACAGGGTCTTGCTCTGTTACCCAGGCTGGAGTACAGTGGCGTGATCTCAGCTCACTGTGACCTCTGCCTCCCGGGTTCAAGTGATTCTTGTGCCTCAGCCTCCTGAGTAGCTGGGATTACAGGCATGTGCCACCATGCCTGGCTAATTTTTTTTTTTGTATTTTTAGTAGAAACGGGGTTTCGTCATGTTGCCCAGGCTGGTCTTGAACTCCTGGGCTCAAGTGATCTGCCTGTCCCAACATGCCAAAGTGCTGGGATTACAGGCGTGAGCCACCACTCTTGGCCTATACTTTTGAGATGGGTTTTTTTCACTCAGCATAATTTCCTTGAGGTTAGTCTAAGTTGTTGGATATATCGATATTTCATTCCTTTCTATTACCGAGCTGTATTCCATGGTATGGATGTACAGTTTGTGTAAACATTCACCAGTTGGAAGACATTGGGTAGTTTCCAGTTGTTGGCTATTATGAATAAAGCTGCCATGAACATTCACCTGCAAGTTCCTATGTAGACGTTCTTCATTTCTCTGGGATAAATCACCAAAAATACAATTGCTGGGTTGTATTATAAGTTCATTATTAGTTTTGAAAGGGACTGCCCAACTATTTTCAAGAGTGATTGTGTGCAATCCGCCTTTTAAAACTGATAATACGGCCGGGCGTGGTGGCTCACGCCTGTAATCCCAGCACTTTGGGAGGCCAAGGCAGGCGGATCATGAGGTCAAGAGATGGAGACCATCCTGGCCAACATGATGAAACCTCATCTCTATGAAAAATACAAAAATCAGCTGGGCGTGGTGGTGCGCACCTGTAGTCCCGGCTACTCGGGAGGCTGAGGCAGGAGAATTGCTTGAACCCAGGAGGCAGAGGTTACAGTGAGCCTAGAGCCTAGATCGTGCCACTGCACTCCAGCCTGGTGACAGAGCAAGAGTCCATCTCAAAAAAAAATAAATAAATAAAAATAGAAAATAAACAAAACTGACAATATGTTATCAACAGTTCTCCTTATTGTTAAGCATTTACCATATCAAAATTCCAAAAATCGATATTCCATTGTATGACTGTACTATAACATTCTTTTGTTTTGAAAATAATTATATAACAAATACGCAATCATAATTTCCATTTCAGTTTTGAAGAATCACAAAGATACATGGAAACTATAAAGCACCTGAGGTACCTTTCAGCTTTCAAGTCTCAAAAACAAGAATTACTTTCAATAGAAAGTAGCTCATCTTCCAAGTTTAAGAGAATAAAGAAGAGAATAAAGAGAATAAAGCTAATACCATTTTAGCTCCAAATGTTAATCAGACTACTTTATATCAAGGTAATATAGCTCGCAAGCATGGTAACAGCCAGGTTGAAAGTACTTTTTGTACTATAATGTTCTAGACCAATCTCCTAATTTTTAATATTTAGGTTTATTTCTGATTTTTGTGTTAAAAATAATAAAGTGAAAAATATTATTGTGGGCTGGGCGCAGTGGCTCACGTCTGTAATCCTAGCACTTTAGGAGGCTGAGGTGGGCGGATCATTTGAGTTCAGGAGTTTGAGACCAGCCTGGCCAACATGGTGAAACCCCATCTCTACTAAAAATACAAAAATTAGCCAGGTGTACTGGCTCAGGCCGGTAATACCAGCTAGGCAGGAGGCAGAGGCAGGAGAATCACTTGAACCCGGCAGGCAGAGGTTGCAGTGAGCCGAGATTGCACCATTGCATTCCAGCCTGGGTGACAAAACCAAAACTCTGTCTCAAAAAGAAAAGAAAACAATAAAAATAAAAGAAAAATATTATTGTGGATAACTGTATGCCTATTTCTGATTATTTCCTTAGAATGCATTTCTAAACATGGATATGCTGGCTCAAAGGGTATAAATGAACATTTTAAAGTCTTTTGCTGTTTTCCCAACTAAAACAGCTACTAAAAGGTGCTTTAATTTGCGCTCCCACAGGAATATATGAGAATTGGGACAAAATTTCTAAAAATACTAATATCGCAGCACAAATGGCAGTCAAATGGTTGGTATCTTAAATGCAGTATATAAATAGATGTTACAAATCAACTAAAAACAGATAAATACCCAATATCAAGTTGCTTTGGACTGCAAGTGATAGAGAACTCCATTCAAAATTATATAAACAATAGAGAAATGTATCATTTTACATAAAGAGTCTAAAGGTAGGGCAACTTCTGGTTTTGTTGATTTCATACAAAATTTTAATAAAAGATACCACAGTACATAGACTAAAAGTTCAGGCTCTGAAGCCAGACTGTTGTGTTTACATTCCAGCTCTTCCACTTACTAGGTGTGTAACATTGAGCGAGTTACCTATTTTTGCCTCAAGTTTCTCTTTTGAAAATGGTTACATTAAGAGCACCTATCTCAAGGTTTTTGTAAGAATGAAAAGAGTTAATATACATAAAATACCCATTAAGTGTTGATATTGTCAAGAGCCTAGGTCCTTTCTGTTTTTCTTTTCTTCTTTTTTGGTAAGGGGGAGGCAGAGCTCACTATGTTGCCCAGGCTGGTCTTGAACTCCTGGCCTCAAGCGATCCTCCCACTTCCGCCTCCCAAAGTGCTGAGATTACATGTGTGAGCCACCACACCCAGCTTCTTTCTGTTTTTCTGTTCTCCTATCCTCAGCATGTTAACCTTATTCCCAAGTCTTGAGACCTCAGGTCACAAGACAGCTGCAGTATGTCCAGGCATCATATTCAAAAAGACCAGCGATAGAAGAGACTAAGTAGTCTTCTCTGCTTCCTTCTTAAGAGCAGGGAAACCTTTCCAGGTAATCCCAAACAGACCTCTTTCATATCCTGCTGGCTAGAAAATAGGTTACGCTACACCAATTTGTAAAAACAGGAGAATGGAATTACCATGATTGGTTTAGACCAATTAGGGTTTACCCATGAGTTACAGTCACCTTATCTGTAGACAGAAATCAAGCAAAATCAGTTCTGTTAACGAGGAAGAAGAAAGAAATGAATTTGGGTGGATGACCAAAATATCTGCCACACATTGCAGAAAAAGGGGCAAACCATATGACCAGAAATTCATAAGAGAAGAAATGCAAATAAATATATGAAAAAATGTTCATCTTAACTAATAAGCAAAGAATGAAAATTAAAAGGAGTTGTATTTTCACTATCAAGTTGGCAATGATGAAGAAGAATGATAATCATCTACAACAGCAACAAACATAGTGAGAGATGACAGCATGCTGGCAGTCCTCAGAGCCCTCACTTGCTCTTGGCACCTCCCCTGCCTGGGCTCCCACTTTGGTGGCATTTGAGGAGCCCTTCAGCCCCCCCCAGTGCACTGTGGGAGCCCCTTTCTGGGCTGGCCAAGGCTGGAGCCCACTCCCTCAGCTTGCAGGGAGGTGTGGAGGGAGAGGCACGAACGGGAACCGGGGAGCGCTTGTAGGCCAGCTGGAGTTCCGGGTGGGCATGGGCTTGGTGGGCCCCGCACTCGGAGCAGCCAGCCAGCCCTGCTGGCCGCGGGCAATGGGGGACTTAGCACCCGGGCCAGTGGCTGCGGAGGGTGTACTGGGTCCCCCAGCAGTGCCGGCCAACCGGCGCTGTGCTCGATTTCTCGCCGGGCCTTAGCTGCCTTCCCGCGGGGCAGGGCTCGGGACCTGCAGCCCGCCATGCCTGAGCCTCCCACCCCCTCCGTGGGCTCCTGTGCAGCCCGAGGCTCCCCTACGAATGCCGCCCCCTGCTCCACGGCGCCCAGTCCCATCGACCACCCAAGGGCTGAGGAATGCGAGCGCAAGGCACAGGACTGGCAGGCAGCTCCACCTGCAGCCCCAGTGCGGGATCCACTAGGTGAAGCCAGCTGGGCTCCTGAGTCTGGTGGGGACATGGAGAGTCTTTATATCTAGCTCAGGGATTGTAAACACACCAATCAGCACCCTGTGTTTAGCTCAAGGTTTGTGTGTGCACCAATCGACACTCTGTATCTAGCTGCTCTGGTGTGGGGCCTTGGAGAACCTTTATGTCTAGCTCAGGGATTGTAAATACACCAATCAGCACTCTGTATCTAGCTCAAGGTTTGTAAACACACCAATCAGCAACCTGTGTTTAGCTCAAGGTTTGTGAGTGCACCAATCGACACTCTGTATCTAGCTGCTCTGGTGGGGCCTTGGAGAACCTTTATGTCTAGCTCAGGGATTGTAAATACACCAATCGGCACTCTGTATCTAGCTCAAGGTTTGTAAACACACCAATCAGCACCCTGTGTTTAGCTCAAGGTTTGTGAGTGCACCAATCGACACTCTGTATCTAGCTGCTCTGGTGGGGCCTTGGAGAACCTTTATGTCTAGCTCAGGGATTGTAAATACACCAATCGGCACTCTGTATCTAGCTCAAGGTTTGTAAACACACCAATCAGCACCCTGTGTTTAGCTCAAGGTTTGTGAGTGCACCAATCGACACTCTGTATCTAGCTGCTCTGGTGGGGCCTTGGAGAACCTTTATGTCTAGCTCAGGGATTGTAAATACACCAATCGGCACTCTGTATCTAGCTCAAGGTTTGTAAACACACCAATCAGCAACCTGTGTTTAGCTCAAGGTTTGTGAGTGCACCAATCGACACTCTGTATCTAGCTGCTCTGGTGGGGCCTTGGAGAACCTTTATGTCTAGCTCAGGGATTGTAAATACACCAATCGGCACTCTGTATCTAGCTCAAGGTTTGTAAACACACCAATCAGCAACCTGTGTTTAGCTCAAGGTTTGTGAGTGCACCAATCGACACTCTGTATCTAGCTGCTCTGGTGGGGCCTTGGAGAACCTTTATGTCTAGCTCAGGGATTGTAAATACACCAATCGGCACTCTGTATCTAGCTCAAGGTTTGTAAACACACCAATCAGCAACCTGTGTTTAGCTCAAGGTTTGTGAGTGCACCAATCGACACTCTGTATCTAGCTGCTCTGGTGGGGCCTTGGAGAACCTTTATGTCTAGCTCAGGGATTGTAAATACACCAATCGGCACTCTGTATCTAGCTCAAGGTTTGTAAACACACCAATCAGCACCCTGTGTTTAGCTCAAGGTTTGTGAATGCACCAATCGACACTCTGTATCTAGCTGCTCTGGTGGGGCCTTGGAGAACCTGTGTGTCGAAACTCTGTATCTAACTAACCTGATGGGGACGTGGAGAACCTTTGTATCTAGCTCAGGGATTGTAAACGCACCAGTCAGTGCCCTGACAAAACAGGCCACTCAGCTCTACCAATCAGCAGGATGTGGGTGGGGCCAGATAAGAGAATAAAAGCAGGCTGCCCAAGCCAGCATTGGCAACCCGCTCAGGTCCCCTTCCACACTGTGGAAGCTTTGTTCTTTTGCTCTTTGCGATAAATCTTGCTACTGCTCACTCTTTGGGTCCACGCTGCTTTTATGAGCTGTAACACTCACCGCAAAGATCTGCAGCTTCACTCCTGAGCCCAGCGAGACCACGAGCCCACCGGGAGGAATGAACAACTCCAGACGCGCCACCTTAAGAGCTGTAACACTCACCGCGAGGGTCCGCGGCTTCACTCTTGAAGTCAGTGAGACCAAGAACCCACCAATTCCGGACACAATAGAAAGTGGCTAATAATAGGTCTTAACATGAGATGTGCAAGGCCTACATGGAGAAAATTATAAAATTTTACTGAAAGATAGTAAAAACCTAAATAAATGGAAATATATACCATGTTCATGGAAAGACTTGGTATCTTATTGTCTTAAAGTTGTCAATTCTCTTCAAATTGATTAATAGATTTAAAGCAATTCCAACCAAAATATCAATAAAGTTTTTAATTTAAATACGTTTCAGCAATGCTGTTTCTAAAATATATATGGAAGTGGCTGAGCCACTAGCCCATGCCTGTAATCCAAGTATTTTGGGAGGCTGAGACAGGATCACTTGAGGCCAGGAGTTCAAGACCAGCCCAGAAACATAGTGAAACCTTGTCTCTACAAAAAATAAAAAAATTCGCTGGGCATGGTGGCACACACCTAGAGTCCCAGCTACATGGGAGGCTGAGGCAGGAGGATTGCTTGAGCCCAGGAGGTCAAGGCTGTAGTGAGCCAAGATTGCACCATTGCATTCCAGCTTGAGCAACAGAATGAGACCCTGTCACTAGAAAATAAAATAAAATATTGGCCAGGCATGGTGGCTCACGCCTGTAATTCCAGCACTTTGGGAGGCTGGAGTGGATGGATCATACTGCGATTTTGCCATTGCACTCCAGCCTGGGCAAGAGAGTGAGACTCCATCTCAAAAAATAATAATAATAAAAAATAGGCCAGGTGCAGTGGCTCACACCTGTAATCCCAGCACTTTGGGAGGCCAAGGAGGGCAGATCATGAGGTCAGGAGATGAAGACCATCCTGGCCAACATGGTGAAACCCCATCTCTACTAAAAATACAAAAATTAGCTGGGTGCGGTGGCACATGCCTGTAATCCCAGCTACTCGGGAGGCTGAGGCAGGAGAATTGCTTGAACCAGGGAGTCGGAGGCTGCAGTGAGCCAAGATCACGCCACTGCACTCCAGCCTGGCGACAGATCAAGACTCTGTCTCAAAAAATAAATAAATAAATACAATAATAATAATAAAATAAAATATAAAATAAAAATGCAAAGGCTCAAAACTAGTTAAGTAATTTTTAAAGAAAAGAATTAAGCAAGAAAAAATTTCTTACCAGAGATAAAAACTTTTCAATAAAACAATAGTTGCTGGGTGCAGTGGCTCATGCCTATAATCCCAGCATTTTGGGAGGCCAAGGGGGGTGGATAGCTTGATCCCAGAAGTTCAAGACCAGCCTGGGCAACCTGGCAAAACCTAATCTCTACAAAAAATACAAAAGGCTTGTGTCTGTAAATCCCAATTACTGGGGAGGCTGAGGTGGGAGGATCAATCACCTGAGCCTGGGAGGTCAAGGCTTCAGTGAGCTGTGATGGCGCCACTGCACTCCAGCCTGGGCAATAGAGTGAGGCCCTATCTTAAAAAAAAAAAAAAAAAAGACAATTGTTAAGATAATATCATATTGATTCAGAAATAGGCAAATTCAGCAATGAAACCAAATAGCCACCAAACAGACTCACATATTATAGAAACTTGACATATGACAGTGGTGACATTAAAAATCACTGGAGAAAGAATGGAAAAATAAAATTGGATTCACACCTCTCACCTTACATAAAAAGCAATTCCAAATTATATGTAATTCCAATTCCAATTATATGTAAAGATAAATGTTTTAGTAATCAGAAGAAAATATAGGAGATTATATTTATAATTGTGGATTAGGGAAGAATGTCTTCTGTTTTTTTGTTTGTTTGTTTGTTTGTTTTCAGACAAGGACTCACTCTGCCACTCAGGCTGGAGAGCAGTAGTATGATCACGGCTCACTTCAGCCTTGACTTCCCAGGCTCAAGAGATCCTCCCACTTCAGCATCCCAAGTAGCTGGGACCAGAGGTGTGAGCCACCATTCCTGGCTAATTAAAAAAAAATTTTTTTTTGTAGAGACAAGGTCTTGCTCTGTTACCCAGGTTGGTCTCAAGCTTTGGAGCTCAAGTGATCTTCCCACCTTGGCCTCCCAAAGTATTGGGATTACAGGCGTGAGCCACTGCACCTGGATGGATTTTTAAATTTTTTTATTTTTTTGAGTTGAAGTCTCACTCTGTTGCTTAGGCTGGATTGCAGTGGTGCTATCACAGCTCACTGCAAATTCAAACTCCTAGGCTCAAGCAAACCTCTCACCTCTGCCTCCCAAGTAGCTGGCACTACAGGCACATAGTAGCTGCCACTGTACTTGGCTAATTTAAAAAATTTCTTGTAGAGATGGCATCATGCTATTTTTCCCAGACTTGTCTAGAACTCCTCGCTTCAAGTGATCCTCCTACCTTGGCCTCCCAAATTGTTGGGATTATAGGTATGTAATCCCAACACCTGGCAAATCCACTGCACTTGGCTGAATTTCTGAAATAAGACAGAAAAGGCATTATGTAAAAAAGACAAGGTTGATACATTTTAACACATTAAAATCAAGAATTCTGTTCAAAGACATCTCAAAGTAAAGAAGACAAGCCATAATTGGGAGAAGACACTTATTTATATAATAAATAATTGAAAGAAGATTAGTATCTAGAATATAAAAAGAACTCTTACAAATCTACTTGGAAAAATTTTTAAGCCAAAAACAGTAGGTAAAAGGCACAACAAACAATTCACAAAAAACTCATGGCCAACAAACACATGAAAATATGAACAGTAATCAGGAAAATGCAAATTAAGACCACAGTAAAATATACTTTTATACCTACCTGATTCCCAAATAATAAGATGTTTGGTAATAACACATGTCAGTAAGGATGTAGGTCAGCTGAAAGTCTTTAAATATTGCTGGAGGGAGCATACATTAATTGAACCACTTTGTACTACTAGATCTATTTGTAAAGTTGAACATTCGTATAGCCTCTGATCTAGCTGTTCCACTTATATAAGTGCCAAGACATACACAGGACTATTTATAGTTTATGTTCACCCACCCCCCTAAAAAGATTGGAAACAACCCAAATATCTGTTGAAAAAAATGAATACATAAATTATGCTACAGTCACATGAAATATTAGTGCAAATAAGAGAACTACAAGTTCTTACCAGTACAAATTCACCAGTGCAAATAAGAGAATAACAAGTACATGTAACAACATGGATAAATTTTATGAATGTCATATTGAGCAGAAAAAAGTGAAATATACCACATATTTCCTAAATTGTAAAATAACACGGAACATAAATTTTACCATCTTAACCTTTTTAAGTGTACAGTTTAGTGAAACTAAACTGGCATGAAGTACATTCACATTGTTGTGAAATATAAATGCACAACCAGGCCGGGTGCAGTGGCTCACGCCTGTAATCCCAGCACTTTGGGAGGCCGAGGCAGGCGGATCACGAGGTCAGATAGAGACCATCCTGGCTAACATGGTGAAACCCCGTCTCTACTAAAAATACAAAAAAATTAGCCGGGCGTGGTGGCAGGCACCTGTAGTCCCAGCTACTGGGGAGGCTGAGGCAGGAGAATGGCGTGAACCTGGGAGGCGGAGCTTGCAGTGAGCTGAGATCGTGCCACTGCACTCCAGCCTGGGTGACAGAGTGAGACCCTGTCTCAAAAAATAAATAAATAAATAAATAAATAAATGCACAACCATTATCCACCATCTATCTCTAGAACTCTTCTCAACTTGCAAAACTAAAACTCTGTAGCCATTAAACAGCAACTCTCTCCCTCCCCTCAGACCCTGGCAATCACAGTTCTACTTTCTTTCTTTCCTTTATCTTTTTTGAGACAGGGTCTTGCCCTGCTGCCCAAGCTGGGGTGCAGTGGCAGGATCATAGCTCACTGCAGGATCATACATAGCTCACTGCAGCCTCGACCTCCCAGGCTCAAGAGATCCTCCCCCCTCAGCCTCCCAAGTAGTTGGGACTACAGACATGCATTACCACACCTAGCTAATTTTTAAATTTTTTGTACAGCTGGGGGTCTTGATATGTTGCCAGGGCTGGTTTCAACTCTTGGGCTCAAGCCATCCTCCCACCTTGTCCTCCCAAAGTGCTGGGATTCGGGTGTGAGCTACTGTGCCTGGCCAACACAGCTTTGCTTTCTATCTCTATTAATTCGAATATTTTAGTTTCAAAGTGAGGGATTGGTTCACATTCCTCAACCTGTTTGTCGTCATGCTTTATAACTTGCATACACACACATATAAATTCTTTAGTATATATAAAATACTATATACCTTGTTTTTTTTGTTGCTGTTGTTGTTGTTTGTTTTTGAGACACAGTCTTGCTCTGTCACCCAGGCTGGAGTGCAGTGACACAATCTCAGCTCACTGCAACCTCCACCTCCCAGGTTCAAGCTATTCTCCTGCCTCAGCCTCCCTAGTAGCTGGGACTACAGACATATGCCACCACCCCCCACTAATTTTTGTATTTTCAGTAGAGACAGGGTTTACCCACGTTGGCCAGGCTGGTCCCAAACTCCTGACTTTCAGGTGATCTGCCCACCTTGGCCTCCCCAAGTGCTGGGATTACAGGCATGAGCCACTATGCCTGGCCTATATACCTTATTTTCTTAATGACTTGATATATGAAAAAATAACGACAATATCCAAAATTGGCTATAATATGGTAAATGCTAGCCAGCATGTAAATTGATACAATTTTAAAGACATTTAAAAATTAACACACAATTAGCCAGGCATGGTGGTGTGTGCCTGTAGTCCCAGCTACTCAAAAGGCTGAGGTGGGAGGATTATTTGAGCCAGGGGAGGTTGAGGCTGCAGTGAGCAGTGAGCATGCCACTGCACTCCAGCCTGGGCAACAGTGTGAGACCCTGTCTCAAAATAAACAAACAAATCAATAAATAAAAACTAAAACACAGCAAAATTGACACATATTTTATGGCTTTTTAGAGCAACTGTATTTTCAACTTCAATTTCTGATGCTCATTGCTAATACATAGAAATATAGTTTTTGTATCCTTGCTAAACTTATGTTCTAGGAGGTTTTGTTTTTGTTGCTGTTGACTCTGGGATTTTCTGTGTACACTATCATGTCTTCTGTGAACAGGGACAGTTTCTTTCCATTCTGTATGCTTTTTCTTTTTCTTGCCTTATTGCAAGGGCTAGGACTTCACGTATAATTTAAATAGGAGTGGTGAAAGTAGACATCCTTGCCTTGTCCTGATCTTAGGGAGAAAGCAATCTTTTACTGTGAAGTATGATTTTTAGGTGTAGGATTTTGTAGATACCCTTTATCGAGTTCAGGAAGTTCCCTTTTGTTCTAGTTTTCTGAGAGTTTGTACCATGAATATTGAATTTTGTCAAATGTTTCTTCCTGCATCAATTGACATGATCATGTGGTTTTACTTCTCAGATTGTTAATATGGCATATTACATTGATTTTTAAGTGTTTAATCAGCTTTGCATTCCAGGTTTATGTTTCACTTTGTAATTACATATTATTCTTTTTTTATGTATTGCAGGATTTGATGTGCTAATAATTTGTTGCAATTTTTGCTTCTATGTTCATGAGAGATATTAATCTGTAATTTTCTTTTCTTTGTACTACCTTTGGCTAACTTTGGTATTGACATAATCTTTTTGGAGGGCAATTTGTTAATTGTAACAAAAGTCTAAAATGTGCTCGCCTATGGATTCCACTTTGAAGAATTTATCTTAAGGAAATAGAGATTTCTATTACACACATACTTTGGGTTCAGGTAGACCTGGATTTAAGTATGAACCCAATCCTTTATTAACTGCTTAAATTCTGTGGGTCTGTTTCCCAATCTGTAAAATGGGGATAAGAGGACCTATTTCAGACCTTATTAACTGAGACAATTCACACACAGTGCCCAAGAACCAGTAAGCTTTAAGTAAATGGTAACTCTTGGTATTATGTTATACTCTCTGGCCTCTCTGTAGGAGGACAATTCTGTCCAAATCAGAGGATGTCATCTTTGCTTCTGTATTGGCTCCCACTTTGAATCTCCTTAATCTTCCTCATCTCTAATTTCGCCGTCTTCTGTTAGACGTGTTAGGCCTTGAGAATACAAAAGCAACAAAAGATATCGTCCTTGTTTTCAGAGACATGAACCTCCTAGACACAGGCGCAAACGGTACCAAGCAATGTAACAGAACAAAAGTGAGACGTCTGCCCAAGGGGCAGCCGACCCTGGACATGCATTCAGAGCGTCAGTGTCAGCTGACACTCGGGAGTGACAGCTCGGGCAGTCACCGAGCTGGGAAGACAGGAGGGAGTGCCGCAACTTCTTCAGTGTAGCCTTAAGTCGCGGTGAGGGGCGCGTAGAGACTTGCTGCTCCCATAGCAACGGGACCAGCCACCCTCTACAGGCCTGACGGGTTACTTCCGTTCACCGTCGGCTGAGCCAAGAAAGGCCGCTTCCGATCCTCCAGCCCCCGAGGCGCGGGGGCGCGCGGACGCCCGGTTATAACTGAACAACCCGAGCCCCACGTCTCTGATTGGCTCAGGCAGAGGAAGGGGGCGGGAGATCGGCAACGAAGGGCGTAGCCGGCTTCCACTCAAACTTGAGGTTTCCCCCCATCCCCTCACAGCGGAAGCCGACCTCGCCCGCCCCGGAAGTGCAAACTGTGTGGTCTGGCAGGTGTGGATTCCGCCGGTGAAGGCTGAAGGCAGCTACCTTAAAGATGCCGGGATCCGCAGCGAAGGGCTCGGAGTTGTCAGAGAGGATCGAGAGCTTCGTGGAGACCCTGAAGCGGGGTGGTGGGCCGCGCAGCTCCGAGGAAATGGCTCGGGAGACCCTAGGGTTGCTGCGCCAGATCATCACGGACCACCGCTGGAGCAACGCGGGTGAGGCCGGCCTGCCTCCGCCGGCGAACCTGGCCCCTGTCTGTTCCCGATCCCAGGGCTGAAAATTTCCCAGGCCTCACTTCGCGTTGGCTCCTCTTATCCTCTCTCTTTTGGACTGTAGGGGAGCTGATGGAGCTGATCCGCAGAGAGGGCAGGAGGATGACGGCCGCTCAGCCCTCCGAGACCACCGTGGGCAACATGGTGCGGAGAGTGCTCAAGATTATCCGGGAGGAGTATGGCAGGTCAGGCTCACGTCCTGGGCTCCTGGTTGGATCCAGTGACACTTTTTGCACGGGCCCCTCTACCTGCTCGGAGACTTTATTGGAGCTGAACAGCCCTTGTTACCTGCCTGACCACTCCTCCCCACCTCTCTCTTTGGGTCTTGTTGCCTCTATAGACTCCATGGACGCAGCGACGAGAGTGATCAGCAGGAGTCCCTGCACAAACTGTTGACATCCGGAGGCCTAAACGAGGATTTCAGCTTCCATTATGCCCAACTCCAGTCCAACATCATTGAGGCGATTAATGAGCTGCTAGTGGAGCTGGGTAAGAGGCCTGATCGCTGGGAAAATGGGACTGGTCACAGGCACATAAGGGAACAGAAGCCTCTGAAGGTTGTTCATTAGCAGAGATGGGAGATTAGCTGTCTTCTGGTTCTCAGAGGTTTGTCCTCCTTCCTGATTAGGAAATGTTGCAACAGGTGACAGGACCAAAGTAATCCTCTCTACTTTTCCTTACAGACCAACCCTTGATAGACTACAGATCTGTGGAGTGGAACAGACTCTATTAGGACAGAGTTTTATTTTCATTGTAAAGAAACAAAATGAACTCCCTAGAGAGCCAAGGTCGATAGACCTCCTTCACTATCTGAATTTTTATACACACGTACACGTATACCATTTCTATCCCCCTTGTCATTGCGGTCCAAGTGACTTGCAGATATTCATTGTAATCAGAGGATGAAGAAGCTGCTTCCAAATTGCTCCCCCATTTTTTCTTCTCTGGCCAGTCTCTCTCATGTAGAAGTGTTGTGGCCACCTTTTGGAGGAAGACTTCTTTTAGGCCGAAGCTCTCTTTACCCTATTCTCAGCACTTTAGGATTTCCCAGATTGCCATTCCTTGGCTGAATCTACTGTCTTCAAAATCAGTTGTAAGGAGCTCTGTAGTGACAGAGGTGGTTCATAGGTAGGGGTACTTCTGGAAGAGGGCAGGCAGAAAATCCCAGAGGAGTGGGGCTTTTAAGAAATTGTGACATAGCTGGGCATGGTGGCTCACACCTGTAATCCCACAACTTTGGGAGGCCAAGGTGAGTGGATTGCTTGAGACCAGGAGTTCAAAACCAGCCTGGGCAACATAGTGGGACCCTGTCTCTATTAAAAAAAAAGAAATTGTGACATTTCACTTTAAGCACATTAACCCTGTGGTACCAGGGTCTGCTAGGTGGGCAGTGCATGTGAAGGGCAGACATCTTTTTCCGTATACGCGTAATGTGTGTTTGTGATATAGCAATTTCATATATATATATATATATATATATTTTTTTTTTTTTTTTTTTTTTTTTTTTTGCAAAACCGTTCTTACAGAAGGGACAATGGAGAACATTGCAGCCCAGGCTCTGGAGCACATTCACTCCAATGAGGTGATCATGACCATTGGCTTCTCCCGAACAGTAGAGGCCTTCCTCAAAGAGGCTGCCCGAAAGAGGAAATTCCATGTCATTGTAGCAGAGTGTGCTCCTTTCTGCCAGGTAAGGAGACTGCTGGAGTTGCTACTAAGAAAAATGAAAAATGAAGAAGAAATAAACGAGAGATGGGTAGGGCCATTCCAACCTTGAATTGATAAGCAAGACTTTGAGACACTGAGAAGATCAAGTAAAACATTAAGTGAATTTTCAAGGTGTTCGTCCTGTGAACATTCATAAATAGTGGTTTAAGAAAGTTGGGGCCGGGAGCGATGGCTCATGCCTGTAATCCCAGCACTTTGGGAGGCTGGGCGGGTGGATTACCTGAGGTCAGGAGTTCGAGAGCAGCCTGGCCAACATGACAAAACCCCGTCTCCACTAAAAATACAAAAATTAGCTGGGCGTGGTGGCACATGCCTGTAATCCCAGCTACTCTGGAGGGTGAGGCAGGAGAATTGCTTGAACCTGGAAGGCAGAGGTTGCAATGAGCCAAGATAGCGCCACTGCACTCCAGCCTGGACGACAGAGCAAGACTCTGTCTCAAAAAAAAAAAAAAAGATGGCGAGCTGCTGGGTTCAAGGAAAGATAACTTGATTCTTTTAGGAATCAAAGCAGGGTAAATTACCTTGGGGATGACTAATGCTTGGTCTGACCTCACTTGATCCTAAGTAAATAATAGGTCTCAAAAAGGAAATATGTAAGGATGCAGGTTGTTTTAAAATAATGAGCCAGGAGCTATCTTGTCAGCAATCGTGATTATATTATACATGCATGTTGTATTTCCAGTTTTATGGCTGCTCTGGTGCTGCTGTGGAGCATTAGACATTTATTAGCTTCCCCTGGGCTTCCCTACAGCTTACCAGAGCTATGAGAGTCTGAAAAATCAGTTGTCCGAAAAATGAGTTATCTATTGGAAATTATGTGCTGGATATGCCCATATCACACAATTCCCCAGATCCAGTTACATTTGAGAGCACTTTTCACTATTTCTCACTCTTTCTCTTAGAATCAGCCTTTCCCTCCCATTGCAGGGTCATGAAATGGCTGTGAATTTGTCCAAAGCAGGTATTGAGACAACTGTCATGACTGATGCTGCCATTTTTGCCGTTATGTCAAGAGTCAACAAGGTGGGTATATCTGGAGTTATGTTGAATTCATGAAGATTATGTTTCTAAAATATTGATTTTTATCTCCTCCTGTAATATCCACGGTGAGAGAATAAAGTTTCTAGCACCTTTCAAAGTACATACTTAGGCCTTTTTAATCTGTTAACTGAATTTCTTTTCCCTTTTTTCTGCATCATTGTTCCTCTCTTGGAGTAGCCTCTAAATTTGGTTGAAGCATTGAAAAGAATGAAGTATTAAATAGAACTAAGGCAAGAGTGTCAGTTTCTAGGGATTGGCTACAGGGCTCCTGCCTTATGCTCAAAGAGCTTGGCAGTTGTGGATAGTGAATGAAAAAGATTCCTGGCTTCTCAGAAGGTATGGCATCTCAATTTCCAGAAAATATGGGACTGAGAGCAGTAGGTTTTGCAGTTTCTTGTCCCATTTTACATTCATTCTTTCCTTGGAAACCTACTTTTAAGCTAGAACTTGTATTGAGCCAGGGATCCCTTCACCTCTACCAGTCTGTGACCCCTCACGATACCAATTCTGAGGTCTAAGCATTTAGCTTTTTGTGGCCAGTGGCCCTTTTAGGGCTCCACCCCCAGGATGGCTCACATTTTTTGTCTTGTCCCAAAGGTGATCATTGGCACGAAGACCATCCTGGCCAATGGGGCCCTGAGAGCTGTGACAGGAACTCACACTCTGGCACTGGCAGCAAAACACCATTCCACCCCACTCATCGTCTGTGCACCTATGTTCAAACTTTCTCCACAGGTAAGTGTGTCTGTCTCTAGCTAGAAGCCAGCAGAAAAGAAGGAAGCCAAAGGGTAGGCTTGAACTCTGGGACTTCAACCACCTCACTCCAGGGCCTCCATTTATCTGCATTTACTCAATGGATTACACCCAGTGGAGGCTGGAAAGAACCACAGAAGTCTTGATTCAGTAAAACAGTTGAGAGTTCTCAGCTGTCAACTTTAGGAAGTCAAGATTGTAAGGACAATATGTAGTTGGGAAAGGTCCTTTGCTTACGATTGCCACCACTCCCTGTCGCCTGACCATTTCTGAAAATGCCAAGCAGGTTGAAAGTAGGATCATAGAATCAGTTTTGTTATTGTTGCAGGGCCTGTCCTTTGTAACCTGAATACAAGCAAGGACTAAGTGAAGAGCCATTTCATCAGTGATAGAAGCTATTTGCTTTGAAAACATCAACCTATTTATAGGTCTCTATTTTTTAAATTGAGGTGAAATTCACATAACATACAATTAACCATTTTAAAGTATACAATTTAGTGATATCTAGTACATTCACAGCATTGTACAACCACCACTCTCTAGTTTCAAAACTTTTTCTCCACTGTAGAAAAACACCCTGTACCCATTAAGTAATCTCTCCCTATTTGTCCTTCTCCCCATCTCCTCCAATCTGCTCCTGTCTCTATGGATTTGCCCATTTTGTATAAAAGGAATCATATAATATGTGACATGTTGTGCCTGACTTTTTTCACTTAGCATGATGTTTTCAAAGTTCATCCATGTTGTAATGTCAGAATTTCCTTTCGAGGCTGAATAATATTCCATTATATGAACATACCACAATTTATTAATCCATTCATCTGTTTATGGGCATTTGGGTTGGTTCCAGCTTTTGGCTTTTGTGAATAATGCTGCTATAAGCATCTGTGTATAAGTTTTCTGTGTGGACATATGTTTTCATCTCTAGGGTACATACCTAGGAGTGGAATTGCTGGGTCTCTAGTTTTTATAAATTTTTTCCTTTTTAGTTCCCCAATGAAGAAGACTCATTTCATAAGTTTGTGGCTCCTGAAGAAGTCCTGCCATTCACAGAAGGTACAGAAGCTGTGTGTGCATGCGTGCATGTGTTGTGTGTATTCGGGGTTTGTGTGTGCATGTGTTTTGGTCTTTTTGTTGTTTTGTTGGTCAGTAGAACTGAATGCTGTCAAGTTGTGTTTTTTATCATACTTCTTGTGGGGACTGTTTTCTTTAGAAGCTCAAAGTGCTTGAGGACCTGACCAAGTCCATGTTAATTTGTTCTGAGACAAATATATTTTAGATTTGTTGGGGCTATTGTGGGTTGGATCATTTAGCATTGTCTGGGTTTGGCTTTGCATGCTGTTTGAGATATAGACAACAACCAGTTGGGAAAATGTACCTGTTTTCCTGCTATAAGGAGTCATTTTGGTGAATTGACTCCCAAAGGAAGCAGGTTGTGAAATGTTCCTCCTTAGAAAACTCACCTGTAGCCTGGATAGTCTCATGTCTTGGGGTTCTTTTCTCTGGCTTCTTCTGAAGGCAGCAGCTCAGCTCATTACGCGTGCAGCCTCATCAGCAAGGGTGGCCTTACACACCATCTGAGAGCAACGCATAGTAGTTGGTTGGGGTCCTAGTTCCTCTTGGAAGTTGATTGACTTCATCCCTTTATTTAAATAAACATTCAATCTTCAAGAAATAGTTATTGAGCACCTACAATGTATCCAGCACTCTTCTAGGCACTGAAGATAAAACAATGAATGAAAAAGATAAGGCCCTGTTCCCACACATTCTATTGTGGAAGACAGATGAGAAAGTATCAGGTCATGGGATGCCTGAGGACAAGCAAGGCTGATGTGGTAGAAAGTGGCTAGGGGCCTGAGATTGAGGAAGGGTCTTAATGAGATGACATTTCAGCTGAGTCCTGAATGAACAGAGTCCACCATATGAAGATCATAGTTTTCTATGAGCTGGTGCAGGGGCTTAGCCAGTTAGAAAAGGATGGCCATACATGGCTAGACAGTAATGAGCAAGGGGGAGAGTGGTCCAAATTGTAATTCATGTGGTGTGTCAGGGAGGGCCCAGATCTTAAACTTCAATCCTGAGTTTGAATTTTATTCTGAGGGCTGTGCAGAGGCATGGGAGAGTTGTAAGCAGGGATTGTCATGATCTGAAGTCATCTCTTCTGGTTTGCATTTTTCCATAGCTTCCCGTCCTTGGGGAGCTAATATGCCTGCATTCTCGAGCCTGGAATCTATATGCTACTTAATTATGAGAGAGGGAGCCTCAGTTTTACCTTTAGCATGTGTGCTTGCCTTTCAGGGGACATTCTGGAGAAGGTCAGCGTGCATTGCCCTGTGTTTGACTACGTTCCCCCAGAGCTCATTACCCTCTTTATCTCCAACATTGGTGGGAATGCACCTTCCTACATCTACCGCCTGATGAGTGAACTCTACCATCCTGATGATCATGTTTTATGACCGACCACACGTGTCCTAAGCAGATTGCTTAGGCAGATACAGAATGAAGAGGAGACTTGAGTGTTGCTGCTGAAGCACATCCTTGCAATGTGGGAGTGCACAGGAGTCCACCTAAAAAAAAAATCCTTGATACTGTTGCCTGCCTTTTTAGTCACCCCGTAACAAGGGCACACATCCAGGACTGTGTCTTGCCTTTCAGATCTTAACAGAGCAGCAGGGCTTAACTTGTTGATTTTGGAGCCTCTTAGTGACCTGGTTGCGTCTGTGTCAGGAACTTAAACTTTCTGGTTCAGTAGTGTGTTAAACATAACACTGAATACCTTACTGGGATACAGATTTTTGCTCAGAAATGGCTATGACACTTTTTCTAGGCTCTACCAATAAAAGCCACTTGAAGGTTCCATAGTTGGTTTATTTATTGTCCTACTCTGACAGAACTGCTTGAAACAGCAGCAGCAGAGCCTTTTTTGTGTTTGCATAGAGGGCTGTAGTTAGCGGGAAAAGTGTACAACATGGTAGTACTGGCCAGATGCAGTGGCTCCCACTTGTAATCCTGGACTTTGGGAGGCTGAGGTGGGAGGCTTGTTTGAGGCTTGTTTGAGGCCTGGAGTTTGAGATTAGCCTGGCAACATAGCAAGATCCTGTCTCTACAAAAAAATATTTTAAAAAATTAGCCAGACATGGTGGCACATGCCTGTGGCCTCGCTATGCTGGAGGCTGAGGTGGGAGGATCACTTGAGCCCATGAGTTCAAGGCTTCAGTGAGCTATCATTGTACCACTGCACTCCTGCCTGGATGATAGAGCAAGACTCTGTCTCTAAAAAAATAACAAGTACAAATGAAAGTATAGTTTCCTTTACAATTCACTGCTCCTGGCCCCAAAGTTTGTTCATAGTCTAAAACAGTAGTTCCAAAACCTCGCTGATCATCAGAATCACCTGAGAGTGATTCCGATCACTCACTCACACAGTCTTGGGTTTCATCTCAGTCCTACTGCATCTGATCTCAGGGTTACTACCTGGGAATCTGTTTAAAGCTTCCCAGAAAAGGATAGTCTCATGTAGTGTTTATAGGACTATAAATTGGTACAGCCTTTTAGAGGGCAATTTGGAAGCTGTATTTCTAGAATTATTTGTACAAGCAAAAAGATTTATACAGAGTGTTCAGTGTAGTAGTTGTAATGTCATAGCCTAAGTGTCCAGCAATAGGAGAAAGGTTAAGTATTGACAGTTACACCGTGGAACATTATACATGGCAATAGAAGTTTCAAAAGGATGGCTGGAGGGGCAGTGTCTGGATTGAAGGCATTTGGGCTGGTTCACTGCATTTAATGTGAATTTGTTACCAATATTTAAAAATCTGGAGATTGCACATTTCAAAAATTCAGATTTCTTGCTTTTCTTGAAAACTCAAATTTGGCAACTCTGGGCCAACATTTCCAAATGGCAGTAGTTAGTTTGTGGTTGGGTAACATCTGATGCCATTGGATGGAACATCTCCAGTTTTCTGCAGTTCCTACTGGATCCATTTAACTCATTTATGTTATCTGCCTAACCCCTGTAGGCATTTGAGTTGTGATCCTGGTGTTAAAAGAATGGGACAGATTTGCAAGGAAGTCCATTTGATACTCTGTTAGTTAAAAACAAGCTGGGGAAAAAAAACACAACAAGCTGCAGAGCAATATGCATAATACGGACTCATTTCCATAAAACAACACTGGCTGGGCGCAATGGCTCACGCCTATAATCCCAGCACTTTGGGAGGCTGAGGAGGGCAGATCACTTGAGGTCAGGAGTTTGAGACCAGCCTGGTCAAAATGGCGAAACTAAAATACTATAATAAAATTTTTAGTTCCACTAAAAATACAAAAATTAGCCAGGTGTGGTTGTGGGTACCTGTAGTCCCAGCTACTCGGGAGGCTGAACTTGGGAAGTAGAGGTTGCAGTGAGCAGTGCCATTGGGCCACTGCACTTTAGCCTGGGCAACAGTGGGTGAGACTCTGTCTCACAAAAACAAAACAAAATTATATGTACACGCATAGGGAAACAGTATAGAAGTATAATACCAAGCACAGCAAGCAGAGGGACATCCTCTAATTTTGTTGACATGTTTATGCTTACATATTGTTTCCGGTTTTTAACCTAAAAAGTCTCCCAGGTGATCCAGATTTTCTGCCATGTTTAGGAACTAGTGGTCCAAAGCAGGGCCTCTTGTGCAGTGTCTGTGTGGGTGGAGGGAGCACTAAGAATCTGCATGTTTAACAAATAGCCTGTGGGCTTTGAACAGGTGATTTGAAACCACATTTTGGTTAACACTGGGCAGAGGTAGGTTCTGAGGGAAAGGTCTCTATTCTTTGATATCTCTTTGAGAGCGATCTTTGCCTTAGGTCTTCCAGAGAGGGGAAAAAAGTAAGACCTCAGAAAGTCGGCATTTTACACTGACCTAAAAGCTGTATGACTCAGAAGAGCCTGACTCACTCAGGCTCAGTCTTTCTATTATTTCTTAAAGCATCTAAGACCCCACGCTTTCTCAGTGAAGTGGCTTGTAGCTACCAATTACGAGCAATTGTCTCCTCCAAAGGCACCAATTCTAACAGCAATTCACTTGGGTACAATTGTGTGGTTTGGAGTAAGAGCAGCAGTGAGGCAAGGAACTTAAATCTGTTCCTGGCTCCAAAAATGCTTTATGATACTTGTCCTTTGTCCATCTTAGTCTCTGTGTCTAAAATTAGCACCAACATCCTTCCCAGGCATGACTGAGTTGGATGAAGGTTATAAGGGTAGAAGCTCTCTTTCTGGTCAGCTCTTACAGTGCCTAGAACAGAACTGCAGGAATGCATACTTTTTAGAATCTTTATGACCCCAATTAAGTAAACCCTATTAAGGCTCATCTTCTTATTTCCCCTCTCTCCGTTTCCCTATTTGAGGAGGGGTAAGTATCAGAAAGAGAGAACCTGAACTGAACAGGAGGAAACAGAAGTTCCACATCAACTCACTACCTGTCAGCCTTGGTATCAGGGGTGCCCACCTCCCACCCCTGCCTTGCTGGCGGAACCGAGAAACTCGGAAAAAAAC
The DNA here is from genome assembly GCF_000001405.40 of Homo sapiens. Lineage (NCBI taxonomy): Eukaryota > Metazoa > Chordata > Mammalia > Primates > Hominidae > Homo > Homo sapiens. Next base: position 75,012,263 of record NC_000014.9, read on the forward strand.
AAACAAAAAAACAACTGTTGTAGCTTGGAGAGAATTAATAGAACTAGGATTCCATGGATGTGAAAGTCTTCCTCAATATGCTAAATAAACCAAGTTAGATAACAGTGCAGTTTGTAAAGACACTTTTTTCCCACGGTTTCTATCTTCCAGTTTGGGCAGAGGGCAGGAAAGGCACAATTCTTGGAACTTGAATAAGGAACAGAAATTCCTAATTTAGCCTCAGAAGAGACATCTCTGAAAAATACTCTACCAGGAAAAACTGAAGTGTAAAATGATACCTCAAAGAAATCAATGCTGGAACCCATAGGATCATATGTTTCATGGATGTGCTTCAAAACTATTTCTCAAAGCAATCTGTTGCATCAGTCTTTGGGCTAATGAAGGCTGCCAGTCACAGTTCCATCATGGAATGACTGGCATACTCTGTAATGATCTATAATACTACAACTACATCAGAACTGCTCTGCCATACAGATAGTACCAGATGGTGATGTGATTATTGTAAAGGCCTCACACTATCCACCTGTCCTTGCAAAAACTCCCTTAGCAGACATGCACCTAGTTGACATGAAAGAACAATTTTGAAATGTGATTTGGAAGTGTTTTATATCTGGCCTACTTTGCTTTGAATTATTCTTTCATTTGCCAAAGAGCTCTTGCAAGGTACTGCACAATGGCTAGGCAATTATTATTATTAATAGTAAAAACTGCAATTGCTTTTGCACCAACTTAAAGAGCTAAAGTCTAAGCTTCCAGTCTCCCAGCATCCCTCACACGATGGAGGGCAGCACTTGAGTCTAATCATGCTTGAGATGGTGATTGCCTGATATGTATATTAAATACTATGCTGAAGAGACGGATCCTTTCAATAGTGTTTTTTTCAAGCATGTTACATTTAGAATTAAGACCTGCCTAGAAAATAAGCTACTTAGTGCTGAAGAAACAAAAACTTGACAAGATTCCTAAGTTATCATTTATATGTAATATTCTTCCTACAACACTGGGTTTGGAAGGATAATAAATACATAAAAATAAAATTCTGCAGTTAATATGAAAAAGAGGTAATGCAGTGTTGAATAATGAGAAACTGCTAATTGCGGTAGCTAACTCCAAGCCACTTTTTTTGGACTGCTCGGCCCATCATGGGGCATTCCTTACTTTGGAAGTAGATAAGAGCAAGTTGGAAGGCCAGAGTCAGGCAAGGCTGGCCAAATCCCACTTCTGCAGGCTGCTGCTTGAATCATCCTGGCCTGATAGATTCCCACATGCAGCACACTGCGATTCCCACACGCTTGGATCCGGTTGCCTGGACTATATCCGATGCTTCTGGGTAAGACTGAGTGCTCTGTAACTAATGGGCCTGGGGTGAAAATGATCCAAGGGTTGGAAACATCCTAAGCCATGTGATAACCTCTTTTTTTTCTTTATATCCCCCACAAGTTCTGATACAATACATTTAGAAAGGAACTCACTGAAGATTTGCTGAATGAAGAGAGGGATGGAAGGAAAAAGGAAGGAAGGAAGGGTTTATTTGATGCAGATTCTTCAGCATTTTGTTTTCACAGACTCCCTTCTTTTCCCCTCTTCTGGACCCACCTTTTTGCCATCTCACCGTTGATGAGCAGCTTCAGCTTAGAGGGTAAAGACAGGCATGATCGCGACTGGCCAGCATACTGGCCGGTTCTCTCTGTTAGCAGACTTTTGCCAAGGGTTTGGATGGAATGGGTGGCTCTTCAGGTGGAAAACAGGTCGTGGGGGTCAGGTTTTGGGTGCCTGAAACTGCTCTTCCTTCACTCCACTGTGCCATGACTGGCTCCCACCCGAAGCTTCAGCTGAGCTGGCTTGTCAGGGCTCGCTAGGAACTGCTGAGCTGCATCTGTCCTTACTTGGCGTGGCTTCCTCAGCCCCCTCCACATCTCAAGAACGTGGCCTTGGGCCCCTTTCTGCTCTGACCATTTTGCTTGCCTGGGTTTTTTCACTGTCTGCCATGCGCAGATCCCAGCTGTTCATTTGTACCTGACCTCTGACTGCTAGAACCTCTCCATTCTTACATCTCATGTAGTTCCAGGTCCCCAGCCAGGTTCTGGATGTTACCCAAGCCCCCTCCCCATTCTCCAGCTTCATTCTAGCCTACACTTTATGCTTTGCCTTAAGCTTTTCTGATACTAGCTCCTATTACCATCTCTAGTCTTAATTCTGATAGTGGGACTGCTAGCTCCTCTTCTTTCAATAATAAAGGGCTAGCTGTAACTAGCTGTGACTCTGTGATACCTAACGCCAGAAGAAGCTACTATATTCTATCATTAGTTTCCTTGTCTTTCTCAGTGACTAAAGCTAAGCCTCTTGAAGGTAGAGACAGCCATAGGAACCTTCACTTCTCAATGAAGTGTTGATGAATGTTACAGAAAAAGGAACTCTCAAGAATGGCTGCATTTTACATCTCATCTCTCAAGTTTTACTCTGAAGTTACTAAAGCCTTCAGCGACCAGAATCTAATAAAGGTGAATCACCAAGTTTATAAATGAATGAATTCCTAATAAATTAAAAATATAAGGGATAGCATATGGGTAATAATGGGAAGGACTGTGCAGTTTGAAGTCACTCAGACCTGGGTCTGAATTCTGGCTCTTACAGCTAAGCCTTCAGCAAACCAGTTAACAGCTCCGAGCTTCGAAGTTTTATTATACAAAGGTGACAACTAGGTTCCTAAGAGGAACCTTCGTTTCCCACTTTGTAAAATGGTGATAAAGCTACCACCTTACCTCATGGACTGTCAAGAAACTAAACTAAGATAAAGTATGAGAAAAATTATTTTGTAAACCTTAAAGCACAATATAGGTATTAATGATTACTATTATAAATTACATGTATCTTTGTTCTTATGGCATCTGAGTTAAAAACAACATAAAACCCTAACAGGCGATAAAGGTAATCTATTAGATATTTTTCCCTAATAGGTTGTTTTTATGCTGAGGCATGCCCCCACACTTATAAATTATGAAAACAGAATAATTATCTCTTACATTGCTTGAGTCAGGCTAGTCAGGAAGGCCGGTTACATAATTTATGGAGGACTTTTTCTAATCCTCTGCTACTCTCAAGAAAACAGTAGTTGGGATTACATATAGCAAAACCTTCTGAAATCATAAGAGGCACTGAGACACTTTTTAAAATCCCTCAAATTGGTCTGGCCTTAAAAGATTTTTACAACTCCCAGGACAGTTGGCCTCCATGCAGCCCTCAAGCAGGGAGGCGGAGGCCCTGAGGCCACACTGCCACACTGGGCCTGGAGGCAGAGCCCCTGACAGCCTGGCAAATCCTCTGAAAACTCTCTCCTTTCTAAGGTCATGTCTTCCCATCTATAAAACATCCGTTTATATGTATTTAGAAGAATAAAAGCCATTTTTTAGACAGTAGGGCCTGTTCTTCAGGATTCCAATTACGTAAATCTACAAGGATCCCCTTGAAAACAAGTGAAGGTTTTCTCTGAACCTTCTCTGGGGCAGACGCTAATGAATGCAATACTTTCATTGCTCCTGTAAGATTCACTTCAAGGCTGCTGGCAAAGGAACTTTTCTTCCATGAGCACGAATTGGTTTCCTGTATTAAAAAATGAGGAAAATCATTCAATTGATATAAAAGCCACTTTGAGCAGGCTGGTCAGGAAATACAAAAGTAGAAATTCTCATTGCATCATCTTACTAATTGTATAGCACCCCAGTTGCAATAAACATTACCAGCTGGCTTTTTGCATTTTTTTTCTACTATGCAATTTTAGTCTGTTGAGTCCTATTAACCACAAATCATGTGAAAAGGTGCGGGAAAAATAGATTGAGAATGGCATAACAAGCATTTGCAGAACGATCAGTCCTGGTCCCAAGTGATATTATAAGGGCAATAGATAGGCATAATGTAATAACACCAAGATACCGTTTGAAAGGGACCCAAAGAACCCTTGTCTCCTGAAAGAAAAAGTGTAAAGATATTTGGTTAGGTTGAACGTATGTATGCTGTGTTTTGATATGACAATTGCTTTCACATAAAGAGATACTTTATAAAGTACCAAAAAAAATCATATTTTAAAAAACAAGCTCATAGTATTTTCACCATTTTACTGGTTTGGGATATTGAACATCAGTCTCTGAGTTTTTAAAGAAAACATAACAAAAAACCCGGAACAGGACTTTAAATTTTCTCTGTTCTATCCTTGTCCTTTTTATCAATAGTTTTTATCCCTAAAATAACTAAAGGCCTGATGAAAGACCCTAGAGAATGTTTTCACTGTAGTAGAGAAACTCTTTAAGTCTGAGATGTAGCACATGAAGCAGCAGCATAGGGAAGTGAAGAAGACTGAAGGGAAAAGAGGGGACCAGTGCAGAAACCCTGGGGGCAGCCTGGGAAGGCAGACTACCCCTTGGACTTGAGCATCAGCTGAATTAGATACACGCAAATGTGAAGCTTGAAAAAAAACTGTACAAAAACAAAAATCACACCCTTCAAATAACAAACCAAGCAACCAATCAAACTGTCATTAAATTTTATCATTAAATAAGTAGCAAAAGGTAGATACTATATAGCAACCTTCTGTGCCCATGGATGCAAATGAATGAATTGTCTTTAGGCTTGAATTTCATCTGGCTACTCAACTAGGGGAATCATCTGCTCAAGAAAGACTGATACAGAGAGCCCTGCTGTCTAAGCTGCTCAGGGACACTGGGCTGATTCAGTCAGGGCCGTGCTGGTACCTGCTGCTGCTGCTCTCTGCTCAGAGGCATACAGTGAACATCCCTTTGTTCCTTTTAGACCAGTGATTCTGTTCTCATGGTGGCTCACAGGGAGGCATGGATTGCTGCAGGCTCTGCCTTGTATCACACTCTGCTTTTCCAAAGAGACGCCAGGCCTGGGCCATTTTGCGAAGTTTAGTGAGGTTGGGTTTAATCTATGGGAAGAAAGAATAACTTCAATTAGCAATATGAAAAGGTAGGTAGCATACAGGCTGGGCGAGGTGACTCACACCTGTAATCCCAGCACTCTGGGAGGCCAAGGCAGGCGGATCACAAGGTCAGGAGTTTGAGACCAGCCTGGCCAATATGGTGAAACCCTGTCTCTACTAAAAATACAAAAAAAAATTAGCCGGGTGTGGTGGCGCATGCCTATAATCCCAGCTACTCAGGAGGCTGAGGCAGGAGAATTGATTGAACCTGGGAGGCGGAGGTTGTGGTGAGCCAAGATCATGCCACTGCACTCCAGCCTGGGCGACAGAGTGAGACTCCGTCTCAAAAAAAAAAAATTGAAAATGTAGGTAGCATACAAATATTTCCAAAGTCTGGCTGTTATAATCTGTTTAGATTTCTAACTTCTGGATTCAATAGAGATTACAGATTGTTTTAAGGATCCAAGGGGACTCAGAACTTTAAGTCTAGATTCCCAGCTCTCAGCAATGGAGAAAAACTTTCTTCATATTTTTCTTTGTGAAACAAAGAGGTTTTAATGAAGTAAAATCAGCTAGTTGAGTCAGACAACATTAGTACCTGAAAACTCCATGCAAGAAAAGATTTTATATCCCTTAGCAGGGAAAGGTTAGCAAAAGAAAAGATTTTGGGCAGGGCGCAGTGGCTCATGCCTATAATCCCAGCACTTTGGGAGGCCAAGGTGGACAGTTCACCTGAGGTCGGGAGTTCGAGACCAGCCTGACCAACATGGAGAAACGCTGTCTCTACTAAAAATACAGAATTAGCCGGGCGTGGTGGCGCATGCCTGTAATCCCAGCTACTCGGGAGGCTGAGGCAGGAGAATTGCTTGAACCCGGGAGGCAGAGGTTGCGGTGAGCCAAGATCGCACCATTGCACTCCAGCCTGCGCAACAACAGCAAAACTCCGTCTCAAAAAACAAAAAAAAAGGAAAGATTTTGGAAAGCAGCAACAGGGACATTCCTGTTATGTTCTCCATGTTCTCCTTCACTGAAGATTATAACAAGGACAGAAGTTCTTCATTTAAGCCATTCTGTGCCTTTTCTGCATTATCCACATTGTAGTTTGCAGGTTGCTGGGTAATTAGGGCCAAAGCATAATGTAGAGATCCCCAAGCTTGGGTCCCTGTCTGATGATCCTCAAACCATAACTCAAGATCCTTGGGGATGGCCAGCTACAGTCACAGATCACCGTTTCCAGCAGGTACTATCAAGAAACTGGAAGTTGAGGCTCTATATTGCCAACAGTGAATTTGCTGTGCTTCTACCAACTTTCAGTAGCTTCAGAAAGAACTGCATATTATGAAACCTAGAGCCAGCAGGCAATAGATATTCAGGGTACATAAGTCTGTACATGTGTTAAGTTTTAAAATACAAAGCCATTATGTAGGTGACCTGACAGTTCAGTCTAAGTTCCATTTTGGATTTGAGCTGGAAAATGAAATGGGTGAGGCTTTATGTGAAACTTCCAGTGCAGATTTTGCAAAACTCTCCTATTTTGGAAAGGTTAAGACAGATTACAGTTGCATAGTAAAAGCCAGAAAAGAAAGAGAAAATAAACTTTGCTCCCTCCTGCTCCTGTTAGTCATTAATGTACCTGTTTTTCCTGTTCCAAGTGGTCTATGTCAGCTAACGGCAGCATAGAAGGTCTCCCGTGAGCACACTGGAATGGCAGCTGGCATGAGGACAGAGCTTCAATAAGGCGGCAACTTTCCTGTAAGCTCAGGCCATCATTAAACTTAATGGCCCCTAAATGAAAGACAGAAACAAGAAGGTTATAGTGTATATAGTGGGAAACCAATGCTGACCTTGGGTCACTGCCAAATATCTGGAAAAAGTAACATGTTTCTTAGGCTTCTTTAATGAAGCTTTAATCCTGCTTGAAATTGGTGCTTATAGGCCGGGCATGGTGTCTCACACCTGTAATCCCAGCACTTTGGGAGGCTGAGGCGGGCAGATCATGAGGTCAGGAGTTCAAGACCAGCCTGGCCAATATGGTGAAATCCCGCCTCTACTAAAAATACAAAAATTAGCCGGGTGTGGTGGCACGCGCCTATAGTCCCAGCTACTTGGGAGGCTGAGGCAGAAGAATCACTTGAACCCAGGAGGCGGGGGTTGCAGTGAGCCGAGATCACGCCACTGCACTCCAGCCTGGGCAACAAAGCGAGACTCCGTTCTCAAAAAAAAAAAAAAAAAAAAAAAAAGAGGGAAATAAATTAGTGCTTATGACCATGGATGAAACTAAGGCTTCAGGACTGACCTTCTGTCTCTCAGCTTTTTCTTACGGAGTATTTGTATTTCTAATCTCTGTAGGAGGCATTCCTTAACTTGTTAGGATCTGGCTTTCAGAGTTTTTCTCCAAGAGGCAAGAGCAGTATTTTTGCCTACTCTTTATGGGTTTGTGAAGTTGGGGTTATCTTTCTCCATGGATCGTCCAATAGCAATCTCTGATTGTTTCCTTACAATGTTCATTTTATTTGCTTCTTTTTTTCTAATTTCCATAATAATCTTCCTAATCTAAACTCTCATATTGTTATAACCTGCCTTTATGCACAATTTACCCAGTCAACAAATATTTATTAAGTATATACTTTGTATTGGGAGCTTTGTCAGGCAGTTAGTGAGACAGATAATTTCCATCCTCATGGCGCTTATGGTCTAATAGGGGAGACAAACATGAAGCAGATAATTATACAATAATTTAAATGATAAATATAGGTGCTATAAAATACAGGATATGAATATATAATAGGAAGACCAAACCCAGTTTAGGAGCTTAAGGAAGGCTTTCCTGGCAAAGTAGTATTCAAGCTGAGACTTTAGGTTAAGAAAGACGTGGCTAATTGAAGAAGGAGAGAAAAGTGTTTCAGGTAGAGGAGAAGGCCAGTGCAGAGGCCCCGACGCTGACAAATGTTTAGCACACAGGAAGCAGAAGACCAAAAAAGCAGGCTGGGATGTAAAGAACAAGGTGGAGAGTGATATGACGTGACACTGGAGAGGCAGGCAGGGGCCAAATCACGAAGACCCTTGTGGGCCACAGTAAAAAATCACATTTCTATCCCAAGAGCAATGGGTCATCATTGACACATTTTAGTTAGAAGAACAACATGCTTGGAGGGATGTTTCAAAAAGATTCCTCTGGGTGCTGAGAGAAGAGCAGCTTGAAAGGGAGCCAGAGTGGATGTGAAGAACTAAGTAAGAGAGCTCAACAGTGGCAAAAATGAGGGAGGAGCCAGACAGACTGAATCAGACGGACCGAAGATACATTTTGAAGGTGGCAATGATGACATTTGGTGATAGAGGAGTATGAGTCTGTTCTCACACTGCCATGAAGAAATGACCAAGACTCGGTCATTTATAAAGGAAAGACCATTTAAATGACTCACAGTTCTGCATGGCTGGGGAGGCCTCAGAAAACTTACAATTATGGCGGAAGGTGAAGGAGAAGCAGGCACCTTCCTCACAGGGCCTCACCCAGCTCCCCATTTTCTATATTGTATCATATTACCCTGCTCAAGAACCCTCAATGGTGTTCGCTTTGGCAGCACATATAATAAAATTGGAGTGATACGGAGAAGATTAGCATGGTCCGTGCACAAGGATGACATGCAAATTCATGAAGCATTCCATCTTCATTATTATTATTATTATTATTATTATTTTGAGATGGAGTCTCACTCTGTCACCCAGGCTGGAGTGCAGTGGCGTGATATTGGCTCACTGCAACCTCTACCTCCTGGTTTCAAGTGATTCTCCTGCCTCAGCCTCCTGAGTAGCTGGGATTACAGGTGCCCGCCACCACGCCTGGCTAATTTTTATGTTTTTAGTAGAGATGGGGTTTCACCATGTTGGCCAGGCTGGTCTCGAACTCCTGACCTCAGGTGATCCATCCGCCTTGGTCTCCCAAAGTGCTGGGATTACAGGCGTAAGCAACCGCGCCTGGGCGCATTCCATCTTTTTACAAAAACCCTAGAAGAAAACCTCAGAAATACCATTCTGGACGTAGGCCTTGGCAAAGATTTCCTGGTAAAGACTCTAAAAGCAACTGCAATAAAACGAAAATTGACAAGTGAGACTTAATTAAACTAAAGAGCTTCTCCACAGCAAAAGAAACTATCAACAGAATAGACGGACAACTTACAGAATGGGAGAAAATATTTGCAAACTGCATCCAACAGAGGTCTAATATCCAGAATCTATATAAGGAACTAATATCCAGAATCTATAAGGAACTTAAATAAATTAACAAGCAAAAACCAAAAAACCCTATTAAAAAATGGGCAAAGGACATGAACACACACTTCTCAAAAGAAGACATACACATGGCCAACAAGCATATAAAAAATGTTCAATGTCACTAATCATTAGAGAAATGCAAATCAAAATCACAGTGACATACCATCTCACACCAGTCAGAATGGCTGGTATTAAAAAGTTAAAAAATAACAGATGCTGGTGAGGCTGCAAAGAAAACAGAACACTTATACACTGCTGGTGGGAAATATAAATTAGTTCAGCCACTGTGGAAAACAGTTTAGAGATTTCTTAAAGAACTTAAAGCAAAACTACCATTCAACCCAGTAATCCTATTACTGGGAATATGCCCAAAGAAACAGAAATCATTCTACCATAAAGACACATGCATGTGTTATGCTCACTGCAGCACTATTTACAATAGCAAAGACATGGAATCAACCTCAATGCTCATCAATGGTGGATTGGATAAAGAAAATGTGGTACATATACATCATGGAATACTATGTCGCCATAAAAAAGAACGAGATCACATCCTTTGCAAAAACATAGAGCTAGAGGCCATCATCCTAAGTGAATTAGAAAACCAAATACTGCATGTTCTTACTTAAAAGTGGGAGCCAAACATTGAATACACATAGAAACAAAGAAGGGGTAACAGACACCTGGGCCTACTTGAGGGTGGAGGGTGGGAGGTGGGTGAGGATCAGAACTACCTATTGGGTACTATGCTCATTACCTGGGTGACAAAATAATCTGTACACCAAACCCCTGCGACATGCAACTCACCCATGTTACAAAGTGCACATGTACCCCCTGAACCTAAAATGAAAGTTGGAAAGATAAAAAAAGAACGCTTGCTAATTCTAATGCCTTCTGTATCAAATCCAAAGGTTTTGCTGTGACCTTCTAGGTTTCTGTTCTCTTACCTGCCTAGTTTCTTGATACTCTTTGCTGCTTCTCATATAACTAACTTGTTTCTGTTCTGCCTCTCTGCACAGGCTGTTTACTCTCCCTATAGTGAATTCCCCTTTCCATGCTATGAACCCATGTTCCCCAGCTCATTCAAAATTCATCTCAAAATGCATCTCCTCTAGGAGTTATTCCTCCACTCATATAGGTCAGGCAGCACTATAGTCAAATTTTTGTGTTGGGATTTTGTTTTTGTAAAAGTGATTTTTAAAAGGGTATATTCAGTTTCTTGATCTAAATTGTATTCTCCAAGAGTCAAGTAGTAAATGTACCCTCTGCCTCTTTTGTAATCCCGGCAGCCCTGCCAGGGCTCTGCATGCAGAGGTGTTTGATCACTGCTATGTTGAAGGGCTTACCATGGCAGGCTTGGGATGCCAACACCTTCTGGACAGTCAGTGGCAATGTCCCTTGGATGCCTCCGGTGGTCTGGAGTAGCTAATGCATAAACACGTTATTAACAGGAAAAGAAAACGGAACAACGAAGCCTTTTATGTGTGGTGCTTCTGTGTGAAACCCCAAAATAAAGGAAAAGCTTACCTCCAGTTGTTCTCGGATAAATTCCTGCAAAGCAAAAGGAAAATCGGCTTTAATCTACGGTTATGTTTTACTTGCCCTTTGATAGTTTACAAAATATCTCAATTTTCTTCTTTAAATCATGCCTCCTGAAAGAAAGAGTTCCAGCAATACAGCACTTGGGTACAAATTTATTTGTTGTAAGGCACTTTGAATATGAAAAAACCAAGCAACTGAATAGAACTCTTATTGAACACAGAATATATTTAGCTACTGAGACTTCCTCCAGAGATAGCTTCTCAACTAATGAGGTTATGTAGCTGGTGAGAGTAGCCTTGATGATTCAACCAATTCAAAACATCAGGAAGGCTTCTCACTAAAAGGCTGTCTGTTTGTGTGTGTAATCTTAGCCAGAACAAGCGTAATATTACACACAAACTGAGAATAAATACACAACAACCATCAACACAACCACTGCTCAGTATAACACTTGCTTAAATATCATAAACATAAGTAAACAGTCACTTTAGTTCCCACGGGCTTTTTGGGGACAATTCCCTTCAGGTCAGAAAGTTTATTTTCTGAGGCCCTTTGTTGAGAAATTTCTCCTCCCTTGCATGTCTCTGTCCCTGGGGTAACCTTTTCAATAGTTATATCCCTGTGGATATTAATATTTACAAAAGAAGCTTAAAGAAATTTAAAGCAGACACTATTTCATGCTACCAATTTGTTTAACCTCTGGAGGTAAAAAGAAAAAAACCTGTTGCACATTTAATGATTTCTTTATAAGAAAATCATTTCTTTACTCCTGGAAAAGGCTATGTGTAAATCTGCTCCTAAGATTACAACATGGTACCTTTTCTTTTAAAACCAGACTCAGGAAATTCTCTTCCCTCCTTCATCTATACTCTAGTCTGCCATGCCTATAAATGGGCACAGTTATCAAGAGCTAGGTAGTAGATACTATATTACATATAATTTAAAAATCACATGTTTTCCCAAACAAACCTAAACAGAAAGATGGTCTCATAAGACTCAATCCACTGACAAAGCTTAGTGTGGATGGAGAGCAAACATTCTTGTGTTTGTACATCTGGGATGGTAAAACATCTGTTTGTAAGCTTAGTGAAGGGGTGATGGGTCTCATCTCAGTCCATTTTATATTCCAATGGTCTGTTTAATGCTGGATAATTTAATATTTTTATTTTATTTTTTATTTATTTATTTAGTTAGTTAGTTACTTATTTTGAGATGGAGTTTCACTCTTGTTGCCCAGGCTGGAGTGCAATGGCACGATCTTGGCTCACCGCAACCTCTGCCTTCTGGGTTCAAGCGATTCTCCTGCCTCAGCCTCCTGAGTAGCTGGGATTACAATCATGCACCACCACGCCTGGCTAATTTTGTATCTTTAGTAGAGACAGGGTTTCTCCATGTTGGTCAGGCTGGTCTCGAACTCCCGACCTCAGATGATCCGCCTGCCTCGGCCTCCCAAAGTGCTGGGATTACAGTTGTGAGCCACTGCACCTGGCCGTATTTATTTATTATTTTTAATTTTTTGAGACGTAGTCTCGTTGTTGCCCAGGCTGGAGTGCCATGGCGCGATCTCAGCTCACTGCAGCCTCCACCTCCTCACCAGGCTAGAAGATAGAGCTTTATAGAAGGATGTATTAATGATCTTTCAACTGCTAGGATTCAAATAGCTACCTCCTCAAAACACCAAAACTGTTCCAGCTTCTTCCAGAATCACACAAAGTCTCTCCTGATCAGCCTGACATAGGATAATCAAGATTTTATGAAACCAGAGGTTTGTTTCCATTTGAAGCAAACTCCTTAACAGTAGTCTTTTAAGTTCCTTCAGGAAAAGTTTTTCTTATAATTTTCTGGTTACATATTAGGGATTGAATTACAATAAAAGACTCTAACAGATCCTATCTTTTGGATTTAGGACAATTTGGAGCAGGGGTCTTAGAGAAAGCATGTCTGTGGGGAGGAAAGAGCTTTGCTGGAAGCAGAGCAAATCTTTGGATCTGTCTGATCCAAAGGCGATTCTGGAAAGGGCAAAGCCAAGATGACCCAAGAGCTGACTGACAGCTGCTCTTCCTCTTGAATGTTTCCCCCTTGGCCTGCAAACCTGCTTACGTCTTTTTTGTCTTAAAGCAAACAAACACCTTTCCTCAGCCTTGAATCCCACCCCACACTTCCCAACCACTTCTAACCTTTAGCTCTCACCCCATCTCTCTTCTTCTGTGTGTAGCCAAAGTTCCTGAAAGAGTTGTCTACTTAGCTTCACTTCCTCCTGCTTCACGCACTCCTGACTCACTGCACTCTTATCTTCTGCCCCACCTCATCCCCAGGAAATGATTCCACAAGACAACTAATGTCCTCATGACAGTCAAGTCCAGCGTTTCAGGCTCTACTTCATAGCCGTTATTGACCATTCCCTCCTTGCTTAAAACTTTCCTTAGTTTTGGCAATATTGCTTTTTCCTGGTTTTCCTCCTCCCTCTCTAACCAAGTATTTTCAGCCATCCTTAGAATTTCCTCTTTTCAGCAGAGCTTTCCAGACCTTTTCCAAAGCATACGCACCCTGGATGCTGATGTTCCACAGGCTCCACTCTTTTGTCTCTTCCTTTTCACTCTCCATATTCTCCCTGGACAACCTCACTTCCTCAAGGCCCTTCTCCAGCTTCTGATACTATCAATATATATATACTGTTAACTCTCAGATAGATATGTACAGCCCAGATTTATTTTCCAAGTACCAGATCTTTTAAGTGTGCCTATCCACTGGGCATTCCACCTGCAGGCACATTCACTGTGTCTAAACCCACCTTCACGATGGAACTCCTAGGCAGGTTTGTTCCTCCTCATCTGTGTCCCTTCTCTGTCAATGGCACCACCATCCTTCCAGCCATCCATGCTACAACCCTCAGAATCACTGTTGCTTTTGTTTTCTCCTTTATTCCTTTCACGTTTGATTGCTCACCAAGTCCTCTTGCTTCTGCCTCCCAAATTCTGTCTCAGATATGTCACTCCTCTCTACTCCCTCTGCTACTGACTCAGTCCAATCCTCATCTTCTCTTACCTTAACCACTGCAATAACCCGTCAGCTGCTCTCCCTGACTCAAATCTTCCCACATAAATCCATCCCCCAATTTATCTACTACATCTATCCTCTAATTTTAGATTTTACTATTTTAGATATTACTAAAGCACTTCAGACTTCTAGATGAGGTGGGTGTGGATTTGCCTGTGCTCCAAATCAAGAAAGCTACTGATAAAGGAGAAGGAACAATCATGAAAAAAGCAGGACACCATAAAAAAGGAAGAGTGAGATTTGGGGAAAAAAACACAACTTCTGGAAATAAAAAATATAGCCATTGAAATAAAAAATTTAGTCACTGAAATAAAAAACTCAGTGGATAAGCTAAACACATAATTAAACAGAAGATGAAGAGATACTTTAGTTCACTGGAAGATAAGTGAGGAGATTTCACAGAATGTATCACAGAGAGAAAGCAATGGGAAATATGGAAGAGAGTTGAAGAGGCATGCAGAGTAGAAAGATAAGGCCCAGTAGATATCTGACAAAATTTCCAAGAGACAAGAGAGAGAATGGGAAAGAAACGTTTGAGGTGATAATGACTGCATACTTTCCAAACTGAAGAAGCATAGTGAATCTCCAGAAGGAAATGAAAATAAATCCATACAAAGATACATCATAGGGAAATTGCAGAACACCAAAGACAAAGTGAACCATCGTAAAAGCAACCAGAGGGAAAATCAGATTACCTACAGAGTAATAATTGGATTGACTAAGGACTTCAATGGCTAAAACAGAAAGTCAGGCTGGGTGCAGTGGCTCACACCTGTAATCCCAGCACTTTGGGAGGCCACGGCAGGCAGATCACCTGAGGTCAGGAGTTTGAGACCAGCCTGGCCAACATGGTGAAACCCCATCTCTGCTAAAGATACAAAAATTAGCTGGGTGTGGTGGTGGGCACCTGTAATCCCAGCTACTTTGTAGGCTTAGGCAGGAGAATCGCTTGAACCTGGGAGGCGGAGGTTGCAGTGAGCTGAGATCATCCCATTGCACTCCAGCCTGGGTAACAGAGTGAGACTCTGTCTCAAAAAATGAAATAAAATAAAATAAAATAGAAAGTCAAAAGTAGTGAAATATTTTCAAAATGCGGGGGGGATAACTGGCAATGTGAAATTCTGTTTTTAGCTAGATAATCATGCAAGTATGAAGACAAAATAAAGATACTTTAAAAGACAGCTTATCATTCACGGACTTTTTTTTTTTTGAGACAGAGTTTCACTCTTGTCACCCAGGCTGGGGTGCAATGGCGTGATCTCAGCTCATTGCAACTTCCGCCTCCCGGGTTCAAGTGATTCTCCTGCCTCAGCCTCCCGAGTAGCTGGAATTACAAGTACCTGCCACCATGCCCAGCTAATTTTTGTATTTTTGGTAGAGACAGGGTTTCACCACGTTGGCCAGGCTGGTCTCAAAACTCCTGACCTCAGGTGATCTGCCCGCCTTGGCCTCCCAAAGTGCTGGGATTACAGGCATGAGCCACCATGCCTGGCCCACGGACTCTTACTAAAATAACTTCTATTTATTTTTATATTTTTGTATTTTTTGTCTCAAGATCTGTTTGTGGATAAAAGATCTTGTAAGAGATTTACTTCAGTAAAAAAAAAAAAAAAAAAAAAAAAAAAAAACCCAAAAGAACACAGAATAAGTAGGATGCAAGAGGCAATGGTGAACAAAGACTCTGGTGAACACTTTTTTTAATCTAAATAAAGATTGACTATAAAATAAATGACCACCAGGGAATTAAAAACAAGGTGGAATTAAAGTACTAGACAGCAACATGGAAGATGGGAGGAGGGTGATGGGAGATGAACAGTTTGTAAGATTTTGGTACAGTTAGGAAGAGGATAGAGAAGTGAATTACTTTTAAACTTTGATAAGTATGCATGCTAAAAGTTAAGGCTAATCTCTAAAAGGATATAAATGGAATATATAACTTCTAAACGAGTAGAGCAAAAAAAAAAAGAGAAATACAGAAAACTATAATAGAAAACAGGAAAGGAGAGGAAAAAGACAATAAAGACAAAATAAATGATATTTGCTATAAAAAAAGAAACATATAAGTAATCAAAATAAAAAGTAATAGTTCTCTCTAATACCTCCAATGCCACAGCCCAGCAGTAGCTTTCCAAACCTTTACCAAAACATATATGTAAAGTAATCATATTTGGAATGCAATCTAAAATGGACCTTACTCTCCTGCTTAAAAGTTTTCACTGGCTGCCTATAGGATAAAATGCAAACTACTTAGTAGAATATGCTAAATTATTTTATGATTTGACCTTGACAACCCATCTAGCCAACTCCCATCCAGTCAAAGATCCAAGTATAACTTCTGATTTCCCCCCAATTTTTTTTTTTTTTTTTTTGAGACGGAGTCTTACTGTGTCACTCAGGCTGGAGTGCAGTGCAGTGATCTTGGATCACTGCAACCTCCACCTTCCGGGTTCAAGCAATTCTCATGCCTCAGCCTCCCAAGTAGCTGGGATTACAGGCACATACCATCATGCCTGGCTAATTTTTTAATTTTTAGTAGAGACGGGGTCTCATCATGTTGGCCAGGCTGGTCTTGAACTCCAGACCTCAAATGATCCGCCCGCCTTGGCCTCCCAAAATGCTGGGATTACAGGCGTGAGCCACTGCACCTGGCCTGATTTCCCCAAATCTTAACTACCAATAGCCTAACGTTGATCAGAAGCATTACCAATAATATAAACAGTTGATTAACACATATTTTGTGTGTTGTATATATTACACACTGTATTCTTACAATTAAGTAAGCTAGAGAAAAGAAAATGTTGGCCAGGCGTAGTGGCTCATGCCTGTAATCCCAGCACTTTGGGAGGCCAAGGCAGGTGGATCATTTGAGGTCAGGAGTTCAATACCAGCTTGGCCAACATGGTGAGACCCCATCTCTACTAAAAATACAAAAATTAGCCGGGGCATGGTGGTGTGCGCCTGTAATCCCAGCTACTTGGGAGGCTGAGGTAGGAGAATCGCTTTAACCCGGGAGGTGGAGGTTGCAGTGAGCTGAGATTGTGCCATTGCACTCCAGCCTGGGCATCGCAAAAAAAAAAAAAAAAGAAAGAAAGAAAGAAAGAAAGAAAAAGAAAATGTTAAGAAAATCATAAGAAACAGAAAATATATTTATTATTCATTAAGTGGAAATGAATCATCATAAAGGTCTTCACCCTCATCATTTTCACATTGAATAGGCTAAGGAGGAGGAAGAAGAGGAAAGGTTGGTCTTGCTGTCTCAGGAATGGCAGAGGTGAAAGAAAATCTGCATTTAAGTGTACCTGCGCAGTTCAGACCCAAGTTATCCAAGGATCAACTGTAGATCTTAATTTGAGCCATATCTATTGATAGTTCCCTAAACATAGGATGTATCTCAAGTCTCTGATATGTATTCCTCTGTCTAGAATGCCCTTCTCCCCTCTTCTGTACTCAGCACTTTCCCACTATTCTTTTTTTCTTTTTTTTTTTGAGACAGAGTTTCACTCTTGTTGCCCAGGCTGGAGTACAATGGTGCAATCTTGGCTCAATGCAACCTCCGCCTCCCAGGTTCAAGCCATTCTCCTGCCTCAGCCTCCTGAGTAGCTGGGATTATAGGCATGCACCACCACGCCCGGCTAATTTTCTATTTTTAGTAGAGATGGGGTTTTTCCATGCTTGTCAGGCTGGTCTCGAACTCCCGACCTCAGGTGAACCACCCACCACGGCCTCCCAAAGTGCTGGCATTACAGGTGTGAGCCACCTTGCCCAGCCTAGTTTCCCACTATTCTGTAAGACTTTTCTGGCTGTGTGCAGTGGCTCATGCCTGTAGTGCCGGGGGTTTGGGAAGCCAATGCAAGGGGATTGCTTGAGGCCAGAAGTTCAGGACCAGCCTGGGCAACATAGTGAGGCCCCCATCTCTACAAAAAAAAAAAAGGAAAAAATTAGCCAGGCATGGTGGTGCGTGTCTGTAGTCCGAGTTACTTGGGAGGCTGAGGCAGGAAGATTGCTTGTGCCCAGGAGATCAAGGCTACAGTGAGCTATGATTGCACCACTGCACTCCAGCTTGGGCAACAGAGTGAGACCTGGTCTCTCAAAAGTAAAAACTTTTCTTAAGAAAACAGCTTTTCTGTGACATTTTCATTGACTTCACCTCCCCAGGCACACAAGTCATTCTGTGTTTCCATAACACTTCTGAAAAACTATCTTGGTGCATTCTAGACTCTTAGTTTTCATTACCTTTATCACTGGGAAGAAAGCAAAACACATACCTCTACTAGCCAAAGTTCACTGACTATAATTCTTTAAATGCCCTTCTTCCTTATTTTGAGCTAACTCATCTCTGAATTTCTAGCTCCTGGCACACCGCAGGTAAATACCATGAATACTTGTTGAAGAAAAGATGAATTCAGAGAATCTACAGACAAAATATGAGGTTACCATCACTCAGCAATTTCCTTAACATCTGCAGCTGTGTCTTACCTCCACAATACTCTTGGTCACAGTAGATCTTCCTCTCCGAAGTTCATTGGCTTCTCTTTCCACAAAACATAGTGGTACTTTTCCCACAAGGACCAGAGAATCACTAGTGTCTGGAAATACAAATTCAAGGCCCAGATCTTCCAGATTTTTGTGGTAACACCTAAAGAGATAACCTCAAATGTTAAAAAAAAAAAGAGTGCTACTTCATTTGCACTTCACTACTGGTTCCAAATACTACTTAATAGTTTTTCAAAAGCTGCCACAGGGCTTAACAACCGTATTGTTTTTCTCACACTTATGTGTGGGTGTTTGGGATTTTTTATTATCAAATTTCCTTTTTGAATTACAGTAACCTTTATTGTTTTTCTCTTTTCCATTGGGAATCAATCTGTGTCTAAGTCTTGTTTCTAAGTGTGTTTTCTTCATTGAGGAACTGCTAACTTCTGGCTGCTGGCACTTAAGGGAGTCTGGCATGAAGAAAAGGTCTGAGAGTGATTTGAATCAGCATTAAAGCAGGGAGGTAATTAACAGCCCAAGGAATTGAGAAGTCCTGACTAACGGGATGTAAGTAAATAGATCTGCCTCTAATATAAATTATGTCATAGGGAAAAAAAGATTTACTGGCAGTATCATATTCCCAAACCTGAAACATATTGGGAGAAATTTCTTTTTCATTTTCAATAATTTGTGCTGCCTAGAAGAGGAAAAATATCCTATCTTGTGACTCACTATATGATTCGCCCCTTCCTTACATCCCAATGTTTTACTTTCTTCCCATTATGATTACGATAATGAAAACTAAGAGTCTAGAATGCACCAAAGCAAAGCAGAATGGGACCAATTACTGCAGAAACTTTGCTTTCACAAAGCATGGCATAAACACAGACTGTTCCAAGAAATGAGAAGAGTGTTCTAAGCCAACTGCTGGAAAAAATTATCAGGGAAACTCTATCCTATACTCTTCAGCTGGGATACAGTGGAAAGAATAGGCTGGGTCCAGTGGCTCACGCCTGTAATCCCAGCACTTTGGGAGGCCAAAGTGGGAGGATCGCTTGAGCCTAGGAGTTCAGACCAGCCTGGGTAACATGGCGAAAACCCATCTCTACCAAAAAATTACAAAAATTAGTCCAGCATGGTGGTGCTCACCTGTAGTTCCAGGTACTTGGGAGGCTGAAGTGGGAGGACTGCTTGAGCCTGGAAGGTGGAGGTTGCAGTGAGCAGAGATTGTGCCACTGCACTCCAGCCTGGACAACAGAGTGAGACCATGTCTCACAAAATAAATATTTTAATGGATGATTGGATGCAGAAAAAAATATATTTTAAAAAAGGAAACAAACAGCCTGTGGAGTCAGACGACCTGCCTTTGAGTGCCTGCTCCACTACTTAATAACTGCTATGACCTTAGACAAGTCTTGTAACCTCTCTTGGTCTCATCTGAGAAATGGAACAATAGTTATGCTTATTCCTCACAGAATTATTGTGAGAATTGATACCATCAACATCACATTCTCATGGTGGTACTGACCATAAGAGTCTCCTTTGTTCCTCTGTCACTGTTATCTCTAGCGGAGGAATTAGAGTAGAAGACAGTAATTTTTTCCGACCAGAGCCTTGTGCCTGTTGCTTCTCGTAGGAATCTATTGGCAGAAAGATGAATGGGTTAAGAGTAGGAAGGGAAGTCTTCTAGATTCAGATAAAAATAAAGCACGGCCTTGAGATAATCATTCTAATGCAAAGCAGAATGTTTAATGTTCAGTTTTAGATTTTGGATTTCCATTTTTAAAGTCAAACTAATAAATATTCAGCCTATTAACAATTTTGGTAGTATTTTTCAAAATAAGAAATATAAGACTTGCATCTTACATTCAGATGAACAAGCCAATGTTCCTGTAGTTAATAAATGTTGTTTTGATGACAGAGGTGAATAATGTGGATTACCAGGAACATATGTGGGTTGACCACACAGTCTTATGGCTCCAGAAGGCTTCCCTTTCCTTGAGCAGGGTCTCCCAGTCTCTGGAGAGAATTAGTACTATTCTCAAATGGTGCAGGGCCTGTAGAGGTAAGTTTTTCTAACACTGTTTTTACTATATCTTTCCCAACTCTTAGGCCGTCATTTTATAAGGAAAAGTGAAAACAGTAGTAATATCATTGCCATTCTAGTCCATGAAGCACTCCTTAGGTCCTTGCCTAACTCTTTGACATTACTCATTGGCCACAGGAGTAAAGACTTTCCTGGTATTTTACCACTTGGTGAACACACTGCCTCATGATGAGGAAAAGGGTAGCAAAAAAAAACATTTAAAAAGCATATATTGCTTTGGAAAGATAGATTTAAAAACCAGAGATATTGGTTGTCTCTGGGGAGAGAAACTAGGAGGGGTGGGGACAAGGATAGAAAGGAGACTTTATTATATTCCCTTTTGTGCCTTTCAGAATTGGATCTATTTGATTATACTGCATATTCAAAAGCAAACTAAATTTTAAAATCAAAACAGCATACTGGGCCTTCTGAGCTGCCACTGGTCTCTGCCTGATGGAGTGTGGGAAGGCATGCCAAGATCACCGGGCATATGGAGGGGCAGAGCTTTGTGCTGGATGTCAG
Organism: Homo sapiens; assembly: GCF_000001405.40. NCBI lineage: Eukaryota > Metazoa > Chordata > Mammalia > Primates > Hominidae > Homo > Homo sapiens. Next base: position 75,033,148 of record NC_000014.9, read on the forward strand.
AGTAAGCAGCCTATCCTTGCGTACTTCTGGGTTGTTAATAACATCTGGCAAATATGCCTCTGACCACATAAATAAGTTCACATCTTTCAATTAGTGAACTACCACATTCTTTCAATTATAACACAGGCCAAACTGCAGGACTTTAGTTTAATTTTTGAACATACAGTACAAAGTGTGCTTTCTCACAACAGTTGCAGTTAGAAAAGCTCTTTGAGGTGTACTGATTCTGCTGGGAGTCTCAAATTTTTTCTGGCTGCAAACAGATCCTTACCAATGATAAGCTGCTCCAGACGTATACGCTCATGGGCAGCGTGCTGATCCACCAGCACGAGCAGGTTCCCACCTAGATGAGCAAGGATTGTGAACTTTGATTCTCAGAGCAAGACGACAACCATCATGTGTGTTGAGGACAGAGAAGACTTAATTCAAACTATCTAACAACAGCATAAGACAAAACATTCTGAGGAGTAACAATTGTATCTTTTATTTCCTAAAACATGAAATTATGGGGAAAATGATAGCAAACTTATCCCATATGTTTGAATCCCAGATCCAATTCTGAAAGGCACAAAAGGGAATTTAATAAAGTCTCCTTTATACTCTTGCCCCCACCCCTTCTAGTTTCTCTCTCCAGAGATTACCAGTATTACTAATTTTTATCCTATAAGTTTTATTATTTTCCCCATAATTTCATTTTTTAGGAAACAAAAGGTAAACTAAGAAACTCTTTAGTTCACCAGCATCTCATTTAGAAAACATAGTCAGGGCTGGGTGCAGTGTCTCACACCTGTAATCCCAGCACACTGGGAGGCTGAGGCGGGCGGATCATGAGGTCAAGAAATCGAGATCATCCTGGCCAACATGGTGAAACCCTGTCTCTACTAAAAATACAAAAATTAGCTGGGTGTGGTGGCACGCGCCTGTAGTTCCAGCTACTTGGGAGGCTGAGGCAGGAGAATCGCTTGAACCCAGGAGGTGTAGGTTGCAGTGAGCCGAGATTGCACCACTGCACTCCAGCCTGGTGACAGAGTGAGACTCCATCTTAAAAAAAAAAAAAAAAGTCAAAGTGGCATTTCCTCAAGTTTGAAGCTTGAATATATAATTCTTATGTTTAAATACTGATTTTGCCTTATTAATTCAACTTTAATATGATAAAGGATCGTTAAACAACACATTGTTATAATCAGCTAACCTTGGTGTACAAGCTACTTGGAAACCCACAAAGAATGTACTTCCAGTGCACTTTAGATCACAAGCCGGAGAACGTTTTCTGAAGGGCCAGATCATAAATATTTTAGGCTTTTTGGGCCACACGATTTCTGTCATGCCTACTCAACAATTCTTTTTGAGCCAAAGCAGCCATAGACAATATGTGAATATCGTAGCTGTGTTCCAATAAAACTTTATTTATGGACACTGAAATACTAATTTCATATAATTTTAATGTGTCAAGAAATAGTCTTCTTTTTTTTTCCCAACCATTAAAAAATGTAAAAACCATTCCCATCTCCCTGGCTGTACAGAAAGAGGTGATGCCCAGATTCCCCTCGGGCCATGTTTATCCTGCCTTAGACTTGGGCTTCTCAAACGTTCATATCACATACCCCCTGGGGATCTTATTAAAACACAGATTCTGGCTGGGCCTGTGGCTCATGCCTGTAATCCCAACACTTTGGGAGGCTGAGGAGGGCAGATCACTTGAGGTCAGGAATTCAAGATCAGCTGACCAACATGGTGAAACCCTGTCTCTACTAAAAATACAAGAATTAGCCGGGCGTGGTGGCAGGTGCCTGTAGTCCCAGCTACTTGGGAGGCTGAGGCAGAAGAATTCCTTGAACTCGGGAAGGGGAGACTGCAGTGAGCCGAGATTGCACCACTGCAATCCCACCTGGGCGACAGAGCAAGACTCCATCTCAAAAAAAAAAAAAAAAAAAAAAAAGTAAAGAAAAAAAGAGAAATTTCAACAGATCCATTTTGCTTCTTTCAACATCTGCAGATTTTGTAGTTACACCCATCTTGAGTATCATTAGTAGAGATTCTGATCTCAAAAACAACAAAGAATTCCAGATAATGAAAACTTAAAAAAAAAATTGGCCAGGCGGGTTGGCTCATGCCTGTAATCCCAGCACTTTGGGAGGCCAAGGCGGGCGGATCACCTGAGATCAGGAGTTCGAGACCAGCCTGGCCAACATGGAGAAACCCCGTCTCTACTAAAAATACAAAATTAGCTGGGCGTGGGTGGCGGGTGCCTGTAATTCCAGCTACTTGGAAGGCTGAGGCTGGTGAACCGCTTGAACCCAGGAGGCGGAGGTTGCAGTGAGCTGAGATTGCACCATTGCACTCCAGCCTGGGCAACAAGAGTGAAACTTCGTCTCAAAAACAACAACAACAAAAAACTATTACTTTTCTAGAAATAGTAAAACTATAGGAATTTGATCTTCACAAATTCTATATTCATGATAATTCTGACAGAACTTTAGGTTAATTTGCCTTTGATCTGCTATGACATTTACTAAACAAGGTAAAGGGAATATTTTGAAATACATAGAGAATAAATGCTCTAAAACTTTAGCACTTGCCTGCAGGTACTATCAAGCTGGAGCCAGCCCTCCACTGCTGCTCAGGGCTCAGCCACTCAGGCCTTTTCAGGGACTTTATCCCATCAGGCATCCCTTGCAAATGTGCTCAAGTTTCTCCCATTAAAAAAAAAAGGTCCTCTGTCACCCTCACCCTCTGTAGTCCCTCTTCCGTGTCATGGGCACATTTCTGAGTATCTCCTTGCAGTCTCCATTAGCACCATCAGCATCTCGTCCTGTCTATTCTCTGAAACAGCTCTCACTTGCTAAAATCCCTAATCTCTACTGTCACAAAATCAGATGATCCTCATCTTACTTAATGTCTTGGCAGCGTTTGGCATGACATCCTGGTTTTCCAACATAACATTCTTCTGTTTTCTTCCTATTTCTCTAGCTGTTCTTTCACAGTCTCTTTTGCTGGTTCATCCTCTTCTACCGAGCTCTTAAGTGCTAGAATTATTCTAGATTCAAGACCTCTCCTCACTCTTCTTTTTTCTAGGTGATAACATTTATATCCAGGGTTTCAGTGATCACTTTTCTGCATCTGATGGCTCAAATTTGTATCTCCATGTCAGAACACTTGTCTAGGCCAGACTTGTAATATCCAACCACATTCTTGACATCTTTTTATTTTATTTTTTTGACAGAGTTTCGCTCTGTCACCCAGGCTGGAGTGCAGTGGTGCGATCTTGGCGCACTGCAACCTCCGCCTCCCGGGTTAAAGCAATTCTCTGCCTCAGCCTCCCGAGTAGCTGGGATTACAGGCATCTGCCACCATGTCCAGCTAATTTTTGTATTTTTAGTAGAGACAGCGTTTCAGCATGTTGGCCAGGCTGGTCTCAACTCCTGACCTCAGGTGATCCACCCACCTCGGCCTCCCAAAGTGCTGGGATTACAGGCGTGAGCCACCGTGCCTGGCCACCTTGACATCTCTTCTGGAGCATTTCAAAGACTGAACTCATGATTTTCATCCTCTCTGCTCTGCCTGCAACACGGGTCCTGCAACATCATCAACTCAGCTATGGAGGCCAGAACACCAGAAGTCATCTTTTACATACTTTCCCCATATCCAATCCATCACCAAGCCCTGCTGACTCTATCTCCTAAATATCTTTCCAATACATTCACTGCTCTCTAGTCCACCCTGGTCCCATCTAACCATGTCTCAGATATTGCAATATTCTTTTAACAGTCAATCTACAGTTAACTGGGACTCCACCCCTACTCCTACTCCATTCTCCACACTACAACCAGAGCAATCTTTTTAAAATGCAAATGTGATGTGACATGTACCACCCCAAAAACAACATCAAAATACAAATGATAAAAAATGAAAAAAAAAAGCTTTCAATGGTTTCCAACAGTATTGGGACAAAGCAAAGCTTGTAGCTGGCATTTAAGATCTGACTCCTACCTACTTCTCTAGCCTCATCTCCAGTTCCCCTTGCCCTGTTTCCACTCACTGAGGAGAATAAATCACAAATTGCATGGTTGTTCCCTCCTTTCTTTACTTAGTTAACTCATATTCATATTCAGACCTCATTTTACCAAGAAGCACTTCCCTGAACTCCCTGATGAAATCAAATCTCCCAATACAGGTTCTTAGAGCATCTTGTATCTCTTTCTCCATTACAGGGGCTAGAACTAAAATTTTATGTTTGTGTAATTATTTTTTTCTCTTGCATATATATCTTTTCTCATTATTGTATCCCTAGGGCCTGGTACAGTCCCTGGCATACAATGGGCACTCAATTAATACTTGTTGAATGAGTTAATATATTTACAAACTATTATTGTTTCATTAGAGCAGGTCACCAAGAGATTCTGTGTAAATATTGACAAACCTAGCAGAGTTCATTATATACACTTTCTATTATTATAAAGGGAAAACATGAAAATATTATTAAAAAGTCAAACAATAGAAAATATTTAAAAGAATAAAAGATGGGCTGGGCGTGGTGGCTTACACCTGTAATCCCAGCTGTTAGGGAGGCAGAGGTGGAAGGATAGCTTAAGCCCAGGAGTTCGAGACCTACCTGGGCAATATAGCGAGACCCCGTTCTCCACAAAAAGGAAAAAAAAAAGACAAAAAGAGTAAAAGTTGAAATATCTCCTTTGCACACCCTCATTTTCACTCCCAAAGTAAATACTCTTGATAGTTTAATGTGCATCCTGAGTATATGTATGTGTATGAACATAAAACTAAATGTCTGTCGCCCAGGCTGGAGTGTAATAGCGCAATCTCGGCTCACTACATCCTCTGCCTCCCAAGTTCAAGCGATTCTTGTGCCTTAGCCTCCTGAGTAGCTGGGACTACAGGTGCACACCACCATGCCCAGCTAATTTTTGTATTTTTAGTAGAGACGGGGTTTTGCCATGTTGCTCAGGCTGGTCCTGAACTCCTGGCCTCAAGCCATCCACCTGCCTCACCTCCCAAAGTGTTGGGATTACAGGTGTGAGCCACCGCACCCAGCCTTCATAATATTCTTAGTTTTAGATTGGCTTTCCCTAATCCATCCAAATCATTGAAACTATATTATATACCAAAAATAATCATTAAAAAAAGGTTACAAGAAGACCAGCTGGTTAATCATTCAGGCTAAACTCCATTCTTACCTGCCTCGCCATTCTCTTCAGTCTTAGTGCTCATCAAACAGGCAATAAACTTGTTATCTACTTGCTGGAGAACCTGTCAGACATTCAAATAAGTGGTACAACACTAAATAAAAATTAACAAAGGCTTATTTGCATAGAAAGATACAGAACTGTATTTTATTTAGAGTTGTTTGCCTTATCACACTCCTTTCTTTGAGACTGGGTAAGGTTCTGATGAACCAGAAAAAGTCACTAGGAAGGATGAAAGAATGGGCAGGTGGAGTTGATCAGAAGATGTAAGGGGAGGGAGGCGACAGGGGAAGACAGACTCCCACGTCTCAGAGTGGTGTGCTAGCAATACTTTAGAGAAGGCCTGAGATGTTCCCAACAGAGTGACTCTTGAGAATAGGTAATGTGACCAGAGATTGCTAACATACAGGCTGAAATAAATTTTTAAAATTTATATGAAAGCAAGGAAAACGATTATGGAGAAACTAGTCTATTTTTATTTTTATTTATTTTTAATTTTTTTTTTTTTGAGACGGAGTCTCACTTTGTCACCCAGGCTGGAGTGCAATGGTGTGATCTCGGCTCACTGCAAGCTCTGCCTCCTGGGTTCATGCCATTCTCCTGCCTCCATGCCATTCTCCTGCCTCAGCCTCCCGAGTAGCTGGGAGTACAGGTGCCCGCCACCACGCCCAGCTAATTTTTTGTATTTTTAGTAGAGACGGGGTTTCACCGTGTTAGCCAGGATGGTCTCGAACTCCTGACCTCATGATCCACCCACCTCGGCCTCCCAAAGTGCTGGGATTACAGGCGTGAGCCAGCGCGCCCGGCTGCTAGTCTATTAAAGAAGTAAGTTAAAAGCCACTGGTGGCTTTAGACCTTGGTGGTTCCTCTCTGTCTAGGTACTTGAGGCTCTCCAATACCCCCGAGCCTATACCACTGCCCCAGGGTCTATTTCTGGATCAACTGCTTGCCTGCTCTGGTACCAGGTCAATGCCAGGTTAGGAGTTTACCCAAATTTGTTAGCCTCCTAATTTGTTTCCGTACTGAAAACAAAGGGAATAAGACAGCCATGGTGGTAAACACAAGGCAAAATAGAAAAGCAGATCAGACAAAGGGTCCCTTTTGTGAAATGACTTCTCAATATGGGCTTTCCCAAACCTGTGTAGGCTCACACAATAGAAGGTAATTTCTAAAAGGGCACTGTTGCACACTTAAGGACAAGGTCACTAAAGGACTTTGATTTATAAATTATTGCCAAATATAAAGTCAATATATAATCTTCTGCAGGAGAACCTTGAGAATCCTTGAAACTGTCAGCCTGAATCCATAATTCATTCCCTCCAAACCTACTTACACTACTAAAGATATTTCTTTCTTTGTAATTATAATTAATCCCTTGCTTTTTCTTCTGATGATAAAAGTTCTAGTAAGAACACACACACACACACACACACACACACGTGCCTTGACCAAGGTGGTCTATATCATTAAATAAATCAAATTTTAGAAGAGTTAGGCCATATATATATATATATATATATATATATATATATATTTATGAGATTTTGAAGTTAATCTTTTACCTGCATTGAATGAATCATTCCTTTGGTGAAACGATAGGGATACAAGATGTTGTGAATTTTAACTGCTAAGCTCTCAGCCTGGCCACTGCTTACATCAACAGCAACCTAGAAAGACTCAGCAAAATATAATTGAAATTTTAATTTTTGTGTCAGAATTGTTTTACCAAAGATATCAGAGTGCTTTAAAAGCATTCATTTTTATTTAGCCTACTAGAGGTGGGTTTAATTCAGGGAATTTATAGAAATTCAAAAGAATCGGCCGGGCGTGGTGGCTCACACCTGTAATCTCAGCACTTTGGGAGGCTGAGGCGGGCAGATCACGAGGTCAGGAGATCGAGACCATCCTGGCTAACATGGTGAAACCCCATCTCTACTAAAAAATACAAAAAATTAGCTGGGCGTGGCGGCAGGCGCCTTTAGTCCCAGCTACTTGGGAGACTGAGGCAGGAGAATGGTGTGAACCCGGGAGGCGGAGCTTGCAGTGAGCTGAGATCACGCCACTGCACTTCAGCCTGGGCGACACAGCAAGACTCTGTCACAAAAAAAAAAAAAAAAAAAAAAAAAAAAAAAAAAATTCAAAAGAATTTATGAATAATGAGTCTTACATAAAAATTTTTGCTTATAAACAAAATTACTGACAAAACAAAAAAAATTGTTTCACAACAACAATTTGTCTATGTTCCATGATCAAGTCCTCAAATGATATCTTGAGGAAAGAACTGGTAAACAAATGCTCATCTATTATACACCCTGTTTATAACATGCACAGTACATTCTGTGAAAATACACTGAGGAGAGAACATCCATGCGGGGCCAATGAGGAACTGTTCCTCCAGTAGAAGATGTGTGGCTTTATCTAATGATAACAATTTCATTATCACCACCCTGAATACTGTGCCAAAGCTACAAGTCAGGGTTTCTGAGAGTGGTAAACACATTCACTGTTCTCACATTGATTATACATGTTTAATCCAAAATGCCTGAGTTCCCAAATGCTATAAATTTTATTTCTCCCCTCTACATTAAACAGTAATTTCCAAATACATAATTTGGAAATATGCCCAGTTTCCAATCATAATTACAAATTAATATAGTCTTGCATGCCCATACCCAGCTTAAATAAAATTCAAATTTTATTTTTAACTAATTTACTTATTTTTTAAGAGATGGAGTCTCACTGTGTTGCCCAGGCTATAGTGTGCAGTGGCTAGTCACAGGTGCAATCAGCACACTATATAGCCTTGAACTTCTGGCCTCAAGTGATCCTCCCACCTCAGCCTCCTGAGTAGCTGAGACTATAAGTGCATGCCACTGTACCCATCTTGAAACTCAAAGTTTAAAATAACAGGCAAAGAAAGGCTGGGCGTGATGGCTCACACCTGTAATCCCAGGACTTTGGGAGGCTGAGGCGGGCAGATCACCTGAGGTTGGGAGTTAGAGACCAGCCTGACCAATATGGAGAAACCCCATCTCTACTAAAAATACAAAATTCGCTGGGCGTGGTGGCAGGTGCCTGTAATCCCAGCTGCTCGAGAGACTGAGGCAGGAGAATTGCTTGAACCTGGGAAGCGAAGGTTACGTGAGCCGAGATCATGCCATTGCATTTCAGTCTGGGCAACAGGAGCAAAACTCCATCTCAAAATTTAAAAAATAAGAAGAAGAAGAAGAAAAAAAAAAGGCAAAGAAAAACTGCTACAGACCCACCTCTGGATAACGGGCAAATACTGGATTGTCCCATTCTGAGAACAAAGACTGAAGCGATTCGCTACTAACAGTATCATCCACAGTATCTAGGGCAAAAGGGAACAGGTAAAGTTGGCATCCAGAACCACAGGGAAAGGAGGGAATGGCATTTCCTGTTTGGTGAGCCATAGCCTCAAGACCAAAGGTCACGTACATTGTTTCTATGTTCTACAAATGTTCAGTGTTTGCTGTATCTCTAAATTATTTTGATCTGTTACTTTTTAAACTAGAGTTGGTGACTGTATCTTCTGGCATTACAGCTTTTCTCCAAACTGTTAAAAGAGATATTGTGGAATACTGACAGAGAAGCTATGGCTCAAATTTATAGCCTTACTGCCTTTAAGCAAAATATACCTTATCTATTTTTAAACATACACACAAAATTGATGTCTGTAGCTTTTTTTGAAGAGTTTTGCTTACATAAAACTACAGCAACTTGGAGTGCAAGTCCAGCCTTTTTAAAAATAAGAAACATGTCCCCTAATCACAAGACACCACAGACTATGCATAATCAGCAAATATTGACCTCAAGTCTGGAAAAGTAATTTCTGACCTAAATGCATGCGCTGAATTAATTAGTTCCGCTGTTAAACAGGGCCGTGGGGAATTCCTGATTCCAGTACAGCACAGCTGGCACTGATCAAGCTTAATGCAAGCCTGCTTTGTTTTTTGAGTTAGGTGGTACGATGTGTACTGTGTGCCCCAGCACTCTCTGCCACCCTTACCTCTGTTATCCTGTCTCATCACAGTCCTCTCTGCTCGAGCTCTCGGAAGGAAAGGAAGAACAAGGTCGCTTCTAAAAGGTTGACACCTGTACTGAGACCCTAAATATAAGAAAGAAAAACCTAGAAATGTGAACTTAAAATACAAGTAAACTCTTTAAAAATTTAATCACATAAAACCTCTTTCTGCACAAACTGAGTCAAGACATAAAGCAGACTACTAAACACTAGATTGAGAATCAGAAATCCTTTAATGAAATTATGCTGTCCATATAGGACTCTATATTAATGCTTAGTTCCATTATCTATTCATACCAGACAGAATGAAGACCTAGAATAGGTCACTGTGATTCTCACTGGGGGGCAATTTTGCACGAGGGGACATTGGCAATGTCTTGAGACCCTTTTTTTTTTTTTTGAGACGGCGTCTCGCTCTGTCGCCCGGGCTGGAGTACAGTGGCGTGATCTCGGCTTACTGCAACTTCCGCCTCCCGGGTTCAAGCAATTCTCCTGCCTCAGCCTCCCGAGTAGCTGGGATTACAGGCATGCGTCACCACACCCGGCTAATTTTTTTGTATTTTTAGTAGACATGGGGTTTCACCATATTGGCCGGGCTGGTCTCAAACTCTTGACCTTGTGATCCACCCGCCTCGGCCTCCCAAAGTGTTGGGATTACAGGCGTGAGCCACTGTGCCCGGCTTGAGACACTTTTCATTGTCACAACTTGAGTAAAGGGTTCTACGTTCTACTAGCATCTAGCAGATAAAGGCCACGGATGCTGCTAAATATTCTACAATGCATAGGACAAACCTTACAACAAAAAATTACCCAGAGAAGCCCTGTGTTAGACATACAGCAGTACTTGTCAGCCATAACTTGGTGCAACCTTCACAAATCTCCAACTTATGTCTCTTATCTCCAATGTATGTCTCTATCCTAACATTTGTCTCATTATAATACAATTATATTTAGATAGCTATCTTCCCTAATAGTACTGTGAACTCCTAAAAGCAAAGTCAGTTAACCTGCAACGTGACAGCACCTAGCACAGTGTGGATGATCAACAAATGCTGCATGAAAAAGTGAACAGGTAGACAAATGAAAGGTTCTCAATTCAAACTCCAGAGTCTAGTAAGATCTGGCCCAAATGCTGTTCTTCTCCATGAAGGATAATCAGATTTGAGTTTTAGAAACAATGCTGAATTTGACAGCTTTAGAACAGGAGGAAAACATGAGAGATAAATCTGTTGGACTAAACCTGGAGAGGTTAAGAATGATAAAATTAAGATAATGAAGTGAAATAAGGTTTATAACTACAATAGAAAGAACTGCATAAAATATATTTTAAAGAAAAAATTACCAAGGCTTGGGGACTTGACACTACTCCTCAAAATCACCTTTATAGATCCTCCTTCTGTACATTAAAATGTATCTTTTAGGCTGGTGGCTCACGCCTGTAATCCCAGCACTTTGGGAGGCCGAGGCGGGCAGATCACCTGAGGTTGGGAGTTTGAGACCAGCCTGACCAACATGGAGAAATCCCGTCTCTACTAAAAATACAAAATTAGCCAGGCATGGTGGCGCATGCCTGTAATTCCAGCTACTCAGGAGGCTGAGGCAGGAGAATCGCTTGAACTCAGAAGGCGGAGGTTGCAGTGAGCCGAGATCGCACCATTTCACTTTAGCCTGGGCAACAAGAGCGAAACTCCGTCTCAAAAAAAAAAAATTGTCTTTTAACAATTTATTTCATGTAACACTTTTATGTAAAGTTTGACAATGTCCTGATGTCATGATGTATATCAGCCATTTCCAGAAAGGTAGCAGGGTACTGAGGAGCCATCTGTTCATGGAACTTCTTTCTATACCAAAAATATTTTTCATTAGGAAACTATCAGTTAACATGACCCTCAAAAGTTCATAAAAAAGTATGCTAATCCAGAATGTTAAGTAGGTTAAAGTGTTTTAAACGTCTATATTCAAAAGGAAGAAATATTTACGTTGAATATGGCAGCTAAGATTTCCCCCTTTCTTTTAGCAACAGCCATCTCACAGTATAATGTAATCCAGTTATTTTTTGGCACCATATCAGAAGCAGTTGCATTTCAGGAAGATGAGGTGTCAGTGCTGTAGATTTACCTCTGAAAAGCCTTCAGTGTAAGTCAGGACATAAAACCACATAGATTGAAAAGCACATAAAGTGGCTTTAAGAGCAACTTGATAGTCTCAGGAACAACAGTGAAAGAAATGAGTTTTCTCCTAATGAATACTACAAAATACTATGAAATACTACTGAAGTTACTACAGTGATTTTTTTTTCACAAGGAAAAACAGAAAAACACTGAAAAGTAAAGGTTTCATTTAACCTTAAAGAAACCACAGCTTTCTGCTAGAGATATTCATCGTCAGGAGAAATTAGAAATTGACTTATAACTACATTTATACATGTTCCATTCTTCTGCAGCATTCAAAATTTTAAATACGGATACAGATGTAATGTTTATCCTCCTAGTGCAAAGCCAAGATTATAGCCAGATGGAAATCAGCTTTATCACCTCCCAACATCTGGCTCTCAACACACTGCCAAAGCAATATCACTTTAAATGTGGACCGAGAACCCAGAGTCCTAGTGCAGGCTCTAATGTAGCCCTGTGGTACGATCTAAAAGCTATATTGGTTGGGTGCAGTGGCTCACGCCTATAATCCCACCACTTTGGGAGGCCGAGGCAGGTGGATCACCTGAGGTCAGGAGATCGAGACAAGCCTGGCCAACACGGTAAAACCCTGTCTCTACAAAAACACAAAAAATTAGCCGGGTGTGGTAGCGGGTGCCTGTAATCCCAGCTACTTGGGAGGCTGAGGCAGGAGGATCCCTTGAACCTGGGAGGCGGAGGTTATAGTGAGCCGAGATCACGCCACTACACTCCAGCCTGGGCAACAAGAGTGAAACTCTGTCTCAAATAAATAAATGCCATATTATTGTCTTCCTGAATAACAGCTACTTGTACCATAAACACATCAAGGAGATTTTACCATATGCATTATAATAAAGTACATTTGAAAAGTATAGTCATGAAAGTATATACTTGACCTATATTTTGAAAATTCATGGACAAGTCCTACTTTCTAGAAAGAAAAAGCTCATAAATGTAGTACTGTACTAAGCCATAGAGTTTACTGGGAAACCTAGGATGATTACAGAATCATTCTGGCCCTTAACCTGGAAGCCACGCAGAGAAACTTCCAGTAAAATACCATGCTGACACTGCAGGTGCCTTTAAAGACACATTTCTAGGAAAGCTGGGCATTTAACAGGAAGGGAAAACAAGGTAGGAAAGTACTGTGGATCTTCCCAACTATTAATAGTATCATTTTTATTAAAATTGGACAGTCTCACCCCTTTTGTTGTTGCTCTAGGTATATACCCATCACCCCCTTTCTTACACATACACACACCCATAGACACATATACACACACTGACATCCTTTCACTGTACTTCTCCATTTAAATAGTGTTGGACCTAGAGGCTGCGTGCGGGCTCACACCTATAATCCCAACACTCTGGGAGGCCGAGGCAGGTGGATCACTTGAGGCTAGGAGTTTGAGACCAGCCTGGCCAACATAGTGAAATCCTGTCTCTACTGAAAATAAAAAAATTTAGCTGGGCATGGTGGCATGCTCTTGTAATCCAAGCTACACTGGAGGCTGAGGCAGGAGAATCGCTTGAACCAGGGGGGCAGAGGTTGCAGTGAGCTGAGATCGCACCACTGCACTCCAGCCTGGGTGACAGAGCAAGACTCCGTCTCAAAAAAAAAAAAAAAAAAAAGTAGTGTTGGACGTAGCAAATCTTCATATAGCATGAAAATACAACATATGTTTTATAAGTGGTCTTCAAAATGTTCTATCTGTTGAGATAATCTCTTTGGATAATGAGGATCTTACTCCTTGTCCAGCATTCCCATCTTCAAAAGCATCTCATGCACATGAATACTACGTACTTACCATTCTCAAGTACAACATCCACAGCCACAGTTGTCAGGTCTTTAGTACAAGCAGCCTGAATGTCCTCAGTTGGGGCAATGAATGTGCTGAGTCCAGTCATTTTGTTGACATAAACCATTCTTCCCAGGGCTACATCGAAATGCCGCTGCCAATCTGAACAACACGTGTTTGACTCTTCAGTTTCAGAACAAGCTCTTGCTTTAGATTCCTCACTCTGAAAACAAATTCCATTTTGGTCACCTGTGGCATCTTCTACCGGATTCATTAACATTCCACTGGGAGAGTCAAGACTTCCTATCTGTTGTTCTGAGGCTCTGATAAGAACATCTGAATCTTTACCGGTAACTTTAGAATTATTATAGGGCAATACCAAAGGAGTTTCTGATATCACACAGTTCTCTGTTGTATTGCTGTTAGAATGTGTTTTACTATTTTTATTAAAGGAATTATCCTGTGTGGCAGAATCTGATGTTGGGATGACACCATTCTCTGTTTTTTCATGCTTGTTGTTAAATAACATACAAAAATCTTGTGTTAACACACTGCACAACTTGCTGTCTTTCCTACTGGAATCTGAATTTGGAAGTTCATTAAAACGACTCATCATCCCCATTGTTTGAGTTTCTCTTTCGGAACCCTTCAGTCTGGATAATTTAGAGGCTAGTGATTCAGATGACTTCTCAAGGTCCAAAGGTTTTCTATTAAAGAGAGATAACTCCTTCAGGGTCATAGGACTTTCTCTCAAACTAGGCATCTGTTGTTCTAAACAATCTTCATCCTTGGAGAATGGAAACTTCTCTGAGTTAAGGATGTGGCTTGCTGGTTGACAACTACTATCTGAATCACTATGCTCCATAGTAGTGATTTTACAAACATCAGAGTTCTCTAAGCGGTTCTTGTCCTTCAGCAGAATGTCAGGTTCAACTTGAAGACTGAGATTGGTAGTGACTCCATTACTTTCCTCTACTTCTGTATCCAGAGGATTTTCAACCTTCCCATATTGCCTCTTAAACTTCTCTAAAGATCCTAGCTGTGAACTCAAGCTTAGCTTCTTACGGACGATTGGTTTGGAGAAACCAATTAATTTATCTGTTTTCCTACTATCATTGGAAACGTGTCTATACCAGGGGAAAGAGGGGGATGTATCAGATAATATGCAATCTGTTTGTGATTTTTTGCTACCTTCCTGAAAAGCAGAAAACATTGTATAAGTTGCTGTAGGTTCATTCTCTAGCCCATAACTTATATTCGTTCTGCAATTTTTTTTGTTGGGCAATTGACCAGATTCTTTACTTAAAGTGCTGGCTAAATCTTTGATGTCTGGAGTTTCAACTGAATGACGTGTTCTATTTCCAAATGTTTCTTGGGCACGTGTGGGACCAGGTCTAACATAATTTTTAAATGAATGTTCTGTTTCAGTTGATTTAGTTTTTTCATTTTGTACTACATGAGTTATAAAGCCAGTGGAACATAATTTAACTCGCCCATAACTAAAAACATTTCTTCTTCCACAATTGCTAGATTCTTTTTTTTTCTCTTTCTCTGTCTGAGCACTATGTACTCCCCATAATGTTGTTGCAAAAGGCAGAGGCTGGCATCCCACTTCAGTAGCATCTTTAAATCTCTTTGGTTGATTCTGAATTCTATTATTTTTCAAGATGTTGGCAGCCATGCCATTAACAGTAGTACTTTCTTTCCATATTTCTAGATCCTGCCCACTCTCCTCAAAGTGACATGGTGTCTGAAAAGGGCTTAAAAACATTTCTAAACTGGTTCCACACGGATTTTCTAAAGAGCTATGTTCCAGGAAAGATTTTTTATGTTTCTCATTTTCTCCAGCTTCTGATGCTACAATTGTCTCTTGTTCTAACATCTTTGATTCTGAGCAAGAGCTGTCTTTGTTTTGTAAAGATGGCTCTGTCATTTTGCTATGGCCTGGACCACCTGATTCATAAATGTACAAAAATGCATCATTTGTATTTTTTCTGGTAGCTTCTGAATCCCTAGAACTCTGTGTGTTTACGTTTTCTGCAGTAGTTTTTCTTTTCACAGCTTTTGACTGCAAATTAAACATCTCATAGGAATCTAAAATATTATTACATGCTTCCTGGAAATTGCTCCTCTCATCGGAAGTCACACGCTTCTGAAGAGTAGCATCAAATAAACTAAAACCATTATCTTCACTAAATTCCTTAATATCCTCACCTGATAATTCCACAAATAATTTTTCTTGCTTTAAAAACATTTTCACTCCTTCCTGAATGCAAAACAAGAGAGTGTCCCAGTTCTGAAATTCAATCAGAGTTTTGGCTGGCTCCATGCACACATCATACTCACAGAATTGGCACTGCACATTAATTACATATATGCCATAGAGTTCTGGGGTAGACCGGTGCCGAAGACTTGAATTCATTTGCCTACTGGTGGGACCATTCTTTGGCTTGCATATAATACTTTCTTTCCTTAATAAAAAGTCAATGAGTTTATGTAGCTTTGTCCTTAAAACTAGTCTTTTGTTCACAAACAAAAACTGCATATTCTTGTTGTAATGTGCTTCAGAGCTGATATAGCCACTAAGCTCAAACTCTTTATATTTAAAACTTATTTCTCTTAGCTTTTGGGACTTTCCCAATCCATAAATTTGACAAAATCGGGAACATACGTCTTTGGTTTTAGGGAGCTGAAGAACCATGGAACCAGAAACATCATTTCTCAAAGAGAAAGAAATGGAAGGGTGCATGAGTGAGAGAGCTTCTATTCTCTGCCTAACCTTCTCAAACTCCAGTCTAGGGTCCATGCATTTCCTCCTTACAGGAAGCTGGTAAAATAGGTTATACACTGTTACAGTAGTCCCAGCGCTTGCTCTAGTCACATCAGCTTCACAAGCTTTCAGGGCTTTTCCACTCTGAAACAGTTTCACAAAAGTTTTCATTGTCCTGTTTTTCTTGGACGAAATTTCCACAGCACTGGCCATGTCAGCAATATTTGCCAAGGCCTCTCCTCGGAAACCATAAAACCTTGGATTCTCCAAGTCCTGTACCGAGTGGCATTTACTGGTGAAATAACGATTTCCCACTTTCTCTACATCATCACTCCCCATCCCAAATCCATTGTCTATCACTTGAACTTGGAAGGTTTCCATATTCACCCTGACAGCCACACATTTTGCTTCAGCATCAATACTGTTGAGGGCAAGTTCCTCAACACATTGGCCCAAGGAGCTTATGGCCAAACCAGAACGCAATTTGGCTTGTACTTCAACTGACAAGCACTTGATCATGGTAGGTAGAAAGATGGTGAGAATGCCAGGCACTGGTTTCCTTCTCTGACTGGAAATAATTGCCTATTGGAGAAAAAAACCACACACGCACATAATCAAAGCTTTAGCATTACACAGCATTATGAAGAAATAGCACTTGAGGTAAATGAAATCACTCTTATTAAACCAAATTGTGAAACAAAGCAAAACAAAGTTATACCGCTGATCTCTAGGCACAGCTCATGCTTGGTGCAATGGATTAACATCCAAAAAAAATTCATAATTTCATAATTTTCAATGCTCCTTTCTAAATCCCACATGTCCTAAAGTGAAATCATAATTACACTTGAAGTTGACCAGTAAACACAGTATTCGAAATTCTAACCACTTCACCAAAAACAGATGCCTAAATTAAATACAGCTAAGGAACATTAGCTAGAAATTATTCATGACAAAAATGTCCAAGCTAGTTTCATAACATTTATACATTACACAATAACCATGACTTTTAGAAAAATACTTATAATGAATTGCTAAGACATTGTAATAAGGTGAAGCAATAGGAAGAAATTTTAAGAATCAAATTGTATCAAAGAGAGATTGGGGGCATTAAGAGGTTATTATTATTATGGTTAAGTATAGTCACCTCAGGGAAAGAGGCTGGGAATGGGAAAAGATAAAGCAGGAAAATTCCTTTTCATATAAACCTTTCTTTGCCATTTGATTGTTAAATCCTGTTCATGTATTACTCTGATGTTTTTAGAAAGTCGTTATTATTCTTTTTTGAAACAGTCTCACTCTGTCACCCAGGCTGGAGTGCAATGACACAATCTCGGCTCACTGCAGCCTGCACCTCCCGGGCTCAAGCAATCCTCCAGCCTTAGCCTCCCGAGTAGCTGGGATTACAGGCGCTCGCCACCATGCCTGGCTAATTTTTGTCTCTTATGTAGAGATGGGGTTTCACCATGTTAACCAGCCTGGTCTCGAACTCCTGAACTCAAGTGATCCTCCCGCCTTGGCCTCCCAAAGTGCTGGGATTACAGGTGTGAACCACCGCGCCCGGCCAGAAGGTCATTATTAATATTCTTTTGGTCTTTACAGATGGGCATAAACTACCTTGGTAATAATAATGATGGCATGGGGCTGCCTGAACTTGATTTTAAGTTTTCCTGCAAGTGAAAACACAAAAACAAAAAACAAAACAAAAAAAACCAAACCCTAAGATTCCAGTGCCATTAAAGGTCTCCCCTTCTTCTCCATCAGTGAGAGCCACGTGGGTGGGCCCCTGCAGGCGGTGGGGCCGGTTTTCCAAACTCGGGACAAATCAGGGCTCTTAACTGCAGAATTTCTGCTGCTTTCTAAGCTAATGCACTAAGCAGCCGGCAGCAACTGACGGGTAAACGTTTAACAAGTATTCCGATTAATGTAAACCCAATGATTTCCTGATGACGCCTCCCAGCGCCTGGGACTGACGGGACGCACGGGCCTGGATCCAGGGCACGGGGGCCTGGGAGGGCCGCGCGGGCCGAGTCCGGGGCAGCGCTGCCTTCCCGCCAGGCCCAGCCCCTCCCTGGCCAGCCCCGTCCTTGTCCCCAAACTGGGCCCGCCCGGCCGCCAGGCCGCCGGGCCTCCGGGGCCCTCGCGCATCCGGCTCCGAAAGCTGCGCGCAGCCATCATCAGGGCCCTTCTGGTGTTAGAAGAGACCCCGGCATCATCTTTTCGTCGCGTGCTTCCCCCAGAGTCACCTGGAGTCCCGCTTAACAAATTCTCCGACACCAACCGCCTCGGACGCCGACGCGCGCACCTTGGATCTTGAGGCTCGTGCGTGCCCACGAGCATGCGCTTCGGAGGGGGCGCGCCAGGCCGCGAGACACCAGTGCGCATGCGCACCAGTTGTTCCAGCCAAGGATCCGCATCCCAGGGTTCAGTGAACCGGTACCTACAGTCTCAATCCTTATTCCCTTTTGGCATGGTGTTAAAGACTATGTCGTAGCTTTTACTTTTGTTTTTATTTTTTTTTCCCGTGTTTTCCCTTTCCTTTTTTTTCTCATTTTCACCTTTGCTCTTAACTACCGTTTAATTCAATATATATTTTATGTGTTTACTTATTGTCTTCTCTCCCTAGAATGTAAGCTATGTGAAGGTAAGGAGTTTATATATTTTGTTTACTGCTGTATCCCAGTTACCAAGAACAGTGCCTGGCCTATGGTAGGCACCGAATGAATGAATAATTCCAGAGCCTGCCATCTTAGAATTATGGCATTTGGAGCTGGAAAAGGCTGAGAAACTGTCTAACTCAACTCTTTTTTTTTTTTTTTTTTTTTTTGAGACGGAGTTTAGCTCTTGTTGCCCAGGCTGGAATTCAGTGGTGCGATCTCAGCTTACTGCAACCTCCGCCTCCAGGGTTCAAGTGATTCTCCTGCCTCAGCCTCCCGAGTAGCTAGGATTACAGGCATGCGCCACCACACTCGGCTAATTTTGTATTTTTAGTAGAGACGGGGGTTTCTCCATGTTGGTCAGGCTGGTCTCGAACTCCGGACCTCAGGTGATCTGCCCGCCTCGGCCTCCCAAAGTGTTGGGATTACAGGCGTGAGCCACCGCACCCGGCCTTTGCTCAACTCTTAATTTACAGATGACAACACCAAGACTCTCTTCACTGACTTGAATCTCCCCAGTGCCACCACAGCTTTTAGTTATAAAAATAACTAAAGGAGAGCAGAACTCTGAGAATGCTGTGAGAATAAAGTGTTTTGGAATTGTTAACCAGTCCTTAGTTTTTGCTTTCTATCTCATTTTCATTGAGAATTTAAAGTGGAATTTATAACGAATTTGTCAGACCTGGTAAGCATTTGATATATGCTAGTTTAGTGACTAACCAAACCCAACCAACCAGTCTTCTAGGGCTGATTAAGCAAAATCCTGATAACTGTTTATGATTATTACTATACCTAGGGCTGCCATAACAAAATACCTCAGACTGAGTAGCTTAAGCAGCAGAAGTCTATTTCCTCTCAGTTCTAGAGACTGGAAGTCTGAGATCAAGGTGTTGGCAGCAACGATTTCTCCTGAGGCCTCTCTCCTTGGCTTGTAGATGGCCATTTTCACAGGGTCTTTGATTTTTGCACACGTGTCTATAGCCAATATGTTCTCTTATAAGAACACCAGTCAGATTGGATTAGGGCCCACCCTCACAGCCTCATTTAATCTTAATCACCTCTTTAAAGGCCCTATGTCCAAATACAGTCACTTTCTGAGGTACTGGGGACTGAGACTTTAACATATGAATTTGGTGGGACACAGTTCAGCCCATAACATAACTTTATGTGAATTCCTTACCCAGAGAAAAGAAACAACAGCAGAAGTAATTCATCCAAACATAAGGTGAACAGAGCTAACAAATTGAACTTGTGGTATTTGTTCTTATTAGGCATGGAATTTCTTGAAGAACATTTCATAGAAACCATTTAAAGAAATGACTCAGACTTTTTTTCTTTCAGACCTCTTTAAATTACCTCAAAATCCTCTTCCTACAAATGTTTACTGAATAAAGACCTCTCATTTCGCCCAAAAGGAAGTTCACTGAAGATTTTTTAAAAGTACTCTAAGCAGAAGGTTCTAACGTTTTTATTGATTAGATTTGTGTACAGTGGTAATCCTTCCATCATACAGGTAATATATAATAACATTCAAAAATCTGACATTAAAATAACTTATTGACTAATGCTAATATTAACACACAATAGTTCTATCTCTATTAATAATAAAAACCAAACCACTGAGTTTATCTTAGAAAACTTAAATTCAGGCCATTATTTTACAATTTGGAAGTCTGAGTAATCCAACTTCAAGATGACTTTTTCATTGTTGAAGTTTGCTTTGTCGATGTGTGATTTAGGACTTCCTCTTGTTTCAAGCCATTCCTGCATATGACGCACCTTGGAGATGGGACCTTGCAATTGTCCTTGCACTGTGCCCCGGTCAGTGTTCTGGACCCAGCCTACCAATCCCAGCTTTTTACCCTCAGCCTAAGGGGGGTAAAAAGAGAGAGAGATCCAGTGAGATTGAAGAAAACAAGGTAAGACTACAATCTGTTGCCAGAATCTTGGCCTAGAATCAAGCCACTGAAACTAATTTGATATTGCCCAGAACAGTCAAAAGAAAGACAGCAAGAAGGATCTCATTGCTTATCTTCACATGAAGTATTGGCCACTTGACTGCATGTCTTTCTTCTACCCTATAAAACCCAGGCACTAGAATTTTTCACTGTGTAGTCAATTTGGTTAAGTATCAAAGACTTAAGTCCAAAACAGATGCTTTTGAAATGATCCCCTAAGGCTGATTGTTTTTAGAATACTGGACTGTATCTTGCTCATTTTCCCTTCCCCTAATCAAGAATCTATTGGGTATGTTAAATGGAAAAAACATGAAGTTATCTGATCCTTCCCTTTGCCTTTAACCAGGACCACACGTAAACAAATCCAGATGAATTAGTGTTCATTATATCTTTAAAGATCATTAGAAAGTATTTCACAATTTCCTGGGCAACTCATCCCGTTGTTCTTACTGTAGTGAAACTGTCTAACCCAACATCTTTATGTTGTAGCCAAAGCCCACTTTATTATCTTCCTAGAAAAGGAAAGCAGCTGGTGTTCAGCCTCTCAACAGCAAACCATGAGACTACATAACTATCAGGTTTTCACTTCACTTTCTTCTCTTCTGTCTAAATAATCACAATGCCTTTAGGCTTATAAAAAGCATCTAATCATTACAGTGTCTTATCCTTTTTAATGTTCTTTCCTTTTATTAAACTGTGGCAAGACTGAATGTTTAGGAAAGGTAGCAATGTTTTGGAGGTAATTTTATTTTTGTATAAATTTATGATTAGAATATTAAGTCATTGATTGTTAAAGTAATTATCTAAATAGAAGATGTTGGATTACAAAAGAAAATGGGAGTTAACATGATTGCATGTCAAAATGTGGGAAATTGCTGGAGTTGGCCAAAGAAAACGTTATGCATAGCAACAAAATGTTTGATGAGGAATTTAAGTATCCATCAAATCAAAGACATGTTCAAAGCAAAGACATGTTTGCTTAATGAACAAAACAGACTCCAGCCAAATAAATAACCATTTGAGGGATACAAAGGAAATTAAGGAATGAAGAAAAATAGAAGATGCCTACCTGATGCGCTGCTAAGTGCCAAAGAAGATACCATAAAAGAAGAATGCTGAGAATGAATTTTGAGTAAGACTCCGCATCCAACTGACAGGGCAGTATAACAACTGCCCTCTTCTGCTTCAAATTAACCCAGGGGAGCTGACTATCTCCAGTTCTTAAGAGTTATCTTATATGGTAAATAGCTGTAAGAATGTGCAGTTTTAAACAGGAGGTTGTCACAGTCAAATAAATCTTTAAAAATTTGCAATGTGATTTATCTGAACTCTTTTTTTTTTTTTTTTTTTTTTTTTGAGACGGAGTCTCGCTCTGTCGCCCAGACTGGAGTGCAGTGGCGTGATCTCAGCTCACTGCAAGCTCCGCCTCCCAGGTTTATGCCATTCTCCTGCCTCAGCCTCCCCAGTAGCTGGGACCACAGGCGCCCGCAACCACTCCCGGCTAATTTTTTTGTATTTTTAGTAGAGATGGGGTTTCACTGTGTTAGCCAGGATGGTCTCGATCTCCTGACCTCATGATCCGCCTGCCTCGGCCTCCCAAAGTGCTGGGATTACAGGCATGAGCCACTGCACCTGGCCTTATCTGAACTCTTGAGAGTTGAACAGAACACTCCAAAATTTGACCAGTGTTGAGAATGGGCGTTTCCTACTGGTTTCATTTGTGTGCTCAACTCTGTTCTTATTTTTTTAATGATGACATAATGTTATTGACTCATGTTCAGTTTTGAATATCTATTGCACCAACAGGGTTTTTCTCCCCTAAGAAAATTCCAAAAAGTGAATTCTACCTCATAACCATATTTTTGCTTAAACAATCATCTGACAACATTTCAAGGACTGTAATCACCACCTCTAGTTGCAATCTAAAAAGAAACTCTCTTCAAATCAATAATCAAGATTTCCACCTTAGGATACTAGAAAAAGAAGAGCAAACTGAATTCAAAATGAGCAGAAAGAAGGAAATAAAGATTAGAGCAGAAATTAATGGAAAGCAGAAGAATAGAGAAAATCAATAAAACAAAAGTTGCTTCTTTGACAGGATCAACAAAATTGACAACCTTTAGCTAGACTGATAAAGAAAAACGGATGAAAGCCTCAAATTACTAAAATCAGAAATAAAAGGAGACATTACCACCAACCTTACAAAGATAAAAAGGATAAAAGGGAATTCTATGAACAATTATATGCCAAAAAATTAGATTAAATTTTTTTGGATGAAAACAAACCTAATACCTAGAAAGACAAACAACCAAAACTGAATCAAGAAGAAATAGAAAGTCTGAATAGACCTATACCAAGAGATGGAATTTGTAATCAAAAACTTCCCACAGATAAAAAGCCCAGGACCAGATGGCTTCATGGGTAAATTCTACCAAATGTTTAAAAAAAAATCCTTTACCAACCCTTCACAAACTCTTCCAAAAAATAGAAGAAGATCCAAACCAAGAATTAAGGGTTAAAAAAAAGAAGAGGAAACACTTCCCAACACATTTTATTAAGCCAGCATTATCCTCATACTAAAACTAAAGCTAAAAAATAAAAATGAAAAATAAGTGTCTCATTCCTGGGACTGTGGTACTTAAAATTCAAATTCTAACCTGGAAGGAATCTTTGAAACATGAATGTGAATTGTCAATACCTCTTTTCCTTTTTCTTTTTTTTTTCTGAAGGATGGTGGCACAGTCACAGCTTATTGCAGCCTTAACCTCCCAGGCTCAAATGATCCTCCTTCCTCAGCCTCCCAAAAACAAAGCTGTCACGAGAAAAAACAACCAAAAAACCATAGACCAATATCTCTTATGAACAGAGATGCAAAAATCATCAGCAAAATACTAGCAAACCAAATCAGGCAACACAGAAAAAGAATTGTATACCATGACAAACTAGGATTTCTTTCAAGGTTGGTTCAATATACAAGAAGTAATCAATTTAATACACCATATTAATAAAACAAAAGCTATATGATCATCTCAATAGATGGCAAAAAAGCATTTGACAAAAACCAATACCTCTTTTATGATCAAAACACTCAACAAACTAGGAACAGAAGGAAACTTCCTCAACCTGATAAAGGGAATCTGTGAAAAACCCACTGCTAACATCATACTTAATGGTGAAAGATTAAAAACGTTCCCACGAAGATCAGGAACAAGACAAGGATGTCTGCTGTTACCACTCTACTCAATATTATACTTGAGGGTCTATCCACAGCAGGAGAAAGAAAAGGCATTCAGATTGGAAAGGAAAAAGCAGAACTACCTCTATTTGTAGATGACATATCTTGTATACAAAAAGTCCTAAGAAACATACACAGGCACACACTAGAGCTAATTAACAGTCTCACAAGGTTGTAGGATATAAGATTGATATACAAAAATCAATTGTATTTCTATACACTAGCAATGAAAAACTGAAAATGAAATTAGGAAACAATTCCATTTATAATAGCATCAAAAAGATAGAGTGTCTAGGAATAAATTTAACAAAAGAATTGCACGACATATATGGAAATCTACAAAACATTCTTGAAAGAAATTAAAGAGTATCTAAATAAATGGAAAGACATCCCTTACTGATGTATTGAAATACTTAACATTGTTAAGATGATATTACTACCCAATTGATCTACAGATTCAACTCAATCTCTATCAAAATCCCAGTGCTTTTGCAGAAATCGAAAAATTGATACTAAAATTTACATGGAAACATAAGGGACCCAGGATAGCTAGAAATAATCTTGAAAAGGAAAAACAAAGTTGAAGGATTCACACTTCCCAATTTCAAAACTTACTACAAAGCTGCAGTAACTGAGACAGTGTGGTACTGGCATAAGGATAGTGGCTTAGACCATTTCGTGTTGCTATAAAGAACTACCTGAGGACCAGGCGTGGTAGCTCACACCTGTAATCCCAGCACTTTGGGAGGCCGAGGTGGGGGGATCATGAGGTCAGGAGTTCGAGATCAGCCTGGCCAAGACGGTGAAACGCCGTCTATTAAAAATACAAAAATTAGCCGGGCGCAGTGGTGGGTGCCTGTAATCCCAGCTACTCAGGAGGCTGAGGCAGGAGAATTGCTTGAACCCAGGAAGTGGAGGTTGCAGTGAGCCGAGATCGCACTACTGCACTTTAGCCTAGGCAACAGAGCAAGACTCTGTCTCAAAAAAAAAAAAAAAAAAAAAAAAGAACTACCTGCTGAGGCTGGGTAATTTATAAAGAAAAGAGGTTTATTTGACTCATGATTCTGTAGATTGTATAAGCATGAGACTGTCACTGGCATCAGGTGAGGGCCTTAGGCTGTTTCCACTGTGAGGCAGGGGTGGGAAGAGGTGGGGTACCAGGCTCTTTTTAACAACCAGTTCTCACCGGGCACGGTGGCTCACACCTGTAATCCCAGCACTTTGGGAGGCTGAGGCGGGCGGATCACCTGAGGTCAGGAGTTTGAGACCAGCCTGGCCAACACGGTGAAACCCTGTGTCTACTAAAAATACAAAAATTAGCTGGGTGTGGTGGCGGGTGCCTGTAATCCCAGCCACTTGGGAGGGCGAGGCAGGAGAATTGCTTGAACCCTGGAGGCAGAGGTTGCAGTGAGCCGAGATTGTGTCACTGCACTCTAGCCTGGGCGACAAGAACAAGACTCCGTTTCAAAAAAAATAAATAAAAATAACAACCAGTTCTCCAGGGAACTAATAGAGTAAGACTTCATTGACCCTCCCACCCCCCAGGAAGAGCATTAATCTACTCATGAGGGACCTGGCCCCATTACTCAAACATCTCCCATTATGTCCCACTTTCAACACTGGGGATCAAATTTCAACATGAGATTTGAAGGGGACAAACATCTCAACTACAGCAGGCAGACATATAGATGAATGGAATAGTATTGAGAGTCCAGAAATAAATCCTTACATTTATGTTGATTTTTGAAAAGGGTGCTATGACGAATGTGGGAAATAATACTCACTTCAACAAATGGTGCTGGGACAACTGGATATTCATATGCAAAAGAATAAAGCTGGATTTCCTACCTCACATCACATAAAAATTAACTCAAACTGGATCAAAGACCTCAATCTAAGAGTGTAAACTATGAAATTTTGAAGAAAACATAGGCGGCTGGGCGCGGTGGCTCACGCCTGTAATCCCAGCACTTTGGGAGGCTGAGGCGGGTGGATCACGAGGTCAGGAGTTCGAGACCAGTCTGACCAACATGGTGAAACCCCGTCGCTACTAAAAATGCAAAAATTAGTTGGGCGTGATATAGCACACCTGTAATCTCAGCTACTCAGGAGAATCGCTTGAACCCTGGAGGCGGAAGGTTGCAGTGAGCCGAGATCGAGATCGCGCCACTGCACAGAGCGAGACTCTGTCTTAAAAAAAAAAAAAAAAAAAAAAGGAAAAGAAAACATAGGCATGACAGCAGCTGGGTGTGGTGGCTCACACCTGTAATCCCAGCACTTTGGGAGGCTGAGGTGGGCAGATTGCTTGAGGTCAGGATCAGCCAGGCAACATGGGGAAACCCAGTTGCTACAAAAAACAAAAACAAAACAAACAAAAAACATAGGCATGAACCTTCATGACCTTGGATTAGGAAGATTTCTTAGATATAACACTAAAAGTGCAAGCAAAAAAAGAACAGATAAATTTGATTTGACTTCATCAAAAGTAAAAACTTTTGTACTTCACAGACACTATCAAGAAATTAAAAAGACAACCCACAGAATGGGAGAAATATTTGTATATCATACATCTGATAAGGGACTAGTATCCAGAATAAAAATATTCTTACAACTCAAGAATAAGGAGGCAAATAACTAAAAATGGGCAAAAATATTTGAATGGACATTTCTTCAAAGCAGACATAAAATATGCCAATAAGCACATGAAAAGATGCTCAACATCATTAGTCATTAGGAAGGCAAATCAAAACCACACTGAAAGTATACACATACAACAGGATATTATTCCGTCTTACAAAGAAAGGAAATTGTTTTTACTTTCATGATATAACACAGATGAACCCTGAGGATATTATGCTAAGTGAAATAAGCCAGCCACAAAAGGACAAATACTGTAAAATTCCACTTATATGAGGTAACTAGAGCAGTTGAATTAATAGAATGTAGATTTATGATTGTCAGGGGCATGGGGGAAGGAGAAAATGGGGAGTTAGTGTTTAATGAATACAGAGTTTCAGTTTTGCAAGATGAAAAGCGTTCTGTAGATAAACAGAACAATGTGAATGTGCTTAAGACCACTGAATTGTACATTTAAAAATGGTTAGAACAATAATTTCTATGTTATATGTATTCTACCACAATTTTAGAAGTAAGTGTGCTATATGGTTTCCAAATATTTTGGGATTTTCCAGTTATCCTTTTTATTTTTTTAATGTGGTTTAGTTCCACTGTAGTTGGAGAACATTCCTTGATTTAAATCCTTTTAAATTCATTAATACCTGAAAAACAAACAAACAACCACAATGAAATATTACCTCATACCCACTAGGATGGCTAACATAAAAGACAGTAACCATTGTTGGCAAGGATGTGGACAAACTGGAATTCTCACACATTGCCAGTGAGAACATAATATGGTATAGCTACTTTGGAAAAGTTTGGCAGTTCCTCAAAAAGCTAAACATAAAGTTACCATATGACCCAGCAATCTACTCCTAGGTATGTATATACTCAATGGAACTGAAAACATTGTCTACATAAAAATATGTGCATATGTGTTCACAGCACTACTATTCATAATGGCCAAAAATCAGAAACCCAAATTTCCATCAATTGATGAATGGATAAATGAAATGTGGTATATCCATACAATGGAATATTATTCAGCCATAAAAAGGAATAGGATACTAATACATGCTACAGTGTAGATAAACCTTGAAAACAATATGTTAAGTGAAAGGAGCCAGTCACAAAAAAAGGCCACATTTGTATGATTCCATTTATATTAAATATCAAGAATAGGCTGAACACGGTGGCTCATGCGTGTAATCCCAGCACTTTGGGAGGCTGAGGTAGGTGGATCACCTGAGGTGAGGAGTTCAAGACCCAGCCTGGCCAACATGGTGAAACCCCATCTCTACTAAAAATACAAAAGTTAACTGGGCATGGTGGTGCATGCCTGTAATCCCGGCTACCTGGGATGCTGAGGGAGAAGAATCACTTGAACCCAGGAGGCAGAGGTTGCAGTGAGCCGAGATCACGCCACTGCACTCCAGCCTGGGTGACAGAATGAGGCAGAGTTGAGACTCTGTCTCAACAACAACAACAACAACAACAACAATCTAGAATAGGCAAATCCATAGAGACAGAAAGTAGGTTAGTGGTTGCCAGGGGCTCAGGGGATGAGGAGTGAGTGCTAACCTAGGTAGGGGTTTCTTTTTGGGATGATGAAAATGTTCTGGAATTAGTGCAACATTTTGTGAATATACTAAAAATCACCAAATTATACACTTTAGGAGGATGGGTTTTATGGGATGTAAATTATATTCCAAGTTTTCAAAAGTCCCTGAATTATTATTTGTCACTTCTCTAGAAATGAAGGAATTTAAATAAGAGGCTAGATAATATCAACAGCAAACATTGCAGCAAAACAACTGTTCAAATGAACATATATATTTAAATGATTATAAATAGTAAAGAATAAGCTACAAGCCTAATTAAGAAAAAATAGATGTCATTTTATATGCAGTTTTCCAATCAATATTTGTTTTTCTGCATTCTGTTATTCTCTCTTTAAACTGGGGAGAGGGGCAGGTAGAGAAAGATGGGCTATGCATACCACTATCTGACCCTTTTCCCTCAACAACTTTGACTAATCTTTGAAGCTGTTATCTCAATCACCTTAATTTACAGGAACTTACCTGCATAACTGGTAGCAAAGCTAACTGGAACACAGCTCTTGCTGTGAGTTTCAGCAATTCTGTTTTCAACAGTCATTTCCTATTTGAGTGTCAGATGGGAAGAAATGATTTTTGAATAATTAGAAAAAGAGGTATTGGCCGGGCACAGTGGCTCACACCTGTAATCCCAACACTTTGGGAGGCCAAGGTGGGCGGATCACCTGAGGTTGGGAGTTCAAGACCAGCCTGACCAACATGGAAAAACCCTGTCTCTACTAAAAATACAAAATTAGCGGGGCATGGTGGCACATGCCTGTAATCTCAGCTACTTGGGAAGCTGAAGTAGGAGAAACGCTTGAACCCGGGAGGCGGACGTTGCGGTGAGCTGAGATCGTGCCATTGCACTCCAGCCTGGGCAAAAAGAATGAAACTCTGTCTCAAAAAAAAAAAAAAAAAAAAAAAGAAAAGAAAAGAAAAAGAGGTATTGGCTGGGTATGGTCACTCATGCCTGTAATCCCAGCACACTGGTGGGAGGCCGAGGCAGAAGGATCACTTGAGCCTGGGAGTTTGAGACCAGCCTGGGCAACATAGCTCTCTGTTAAAAGAGAAAAAAAAAAAAAAAGCTGGGTGTGGCGGCATGCACCTGTGGTCCCAGCTACTTGGGAGGCTGAGGAAGGAGGATCATTTGAGCCTGGGAGGTTAAGGCTGCAATAAGCTGTGACTGTGCCACCATCCTTCAGAAAAAAAAAAGAAAAAGGGAAAGAGGTATTGACAATTCACATTCATGTTTCAAAGATTCCTTCCAGGTTAGAATTTGAATTTTAAGTACCACAGTCCCAGGAATGAGACACTTAAGAAGTTCTGCAGTCCTGGCCGGGTGCGGTGGCTCACACCTGTAATCCCAGCACTTGGGGAGGCTGAGGCGGATGGATCACGAGGCCAGGAGTTCAAGACCAGCCTGGCCAAGATGGTGAAACCCTGTCTCTACTAAAAATACAAAAAAAAAAAAAAAAAAAAAAGAAGTTTTGCAGTCCTAACTCATTATCTGTGGGATTAGCGACACACTGGGAAGGCAATAGCCAATACCTACAGAAGGCAGAGGGTAAATTGAGCTTGCATTTGTGTGTGCCTGTTGAGGGAAGATTAGCCACATTAAAGCAGAGGTAGAGGCTGCCAACAGTTTGTCCATCCCCTCAAATAATCCTTTATTGCTCTAGGAAGAATACCAGGCTCCACATTCAGTGTTCCCATCACCTATTCTGGAATGGATAAAGAGTTTTTAATAAGAAAAACGTCAGCTGGAAAAGGTAAATGTTCTTTCAAAACCAAAAAAGAATAGAAAGAAATTAAGTGGAGAACTGAGGGAAGCTTGGAGAAAGAGGTCTGAAGAAAGTGCAGCAGCTGCAGAGGAAGCATTTATATATGTTATATACATGACATCAGGTCATCTAAATGCCAGCTCTTCAATCAATGTTAGCCTTTCTATAAGAAACCTGACTTGGTTTGATGATGCCACAACGGCGAGCACTGGGGAAGCCCTCTATTTCCCTTGGAAGAGAGAAGCTCATTAATATGTGTATCTAGATGCTCAGGCACCACTGACTAATAATAACAGCAGGGTGATCTTCCATTTACACCATGTTTTACCGATTGCACAGCATTTTCATACTCATTGCTCTACAAACTACCTCTTTGCCATGCAGCTACCAAATAGCCAGCGGCTTCTAGTTCACATTTGTCAAGAACACGTCCCTTGTTCCTATGCCCACAACCTAGGTTACCACCCCAAAGCCTGCAGGCCACATACCTGAGTATGCTTACGGAAAAACACCCCTTGCACCTTCCCAAAAATTTCATAATCCACTGATATCAGGGTGTTTCCTTCTGCCATGCTCAAACCTGTCAGAAACCAGGAAAGCAGAAGAGTGAAGGGCTATTATTCCAGGACCCGCAAGCCTGAGTCAGAAAGGGCCACACCCACCCCTGTCCATCCTTAACCATTGCGACCTCTCCCCGACTTCAAGGTCCTGGAAATGGAAACGTGAGTGGATGTGATAAGGTGTGTGTGAAGGAAGAACCAGACGCCGGGAGAGGGAGCTTCGGATCGCAGCTGCCCGCTGAAGCCTCTTCTGGGGAAATAACCTGAGGACCGATGACCTCCTTACATCCATGCCCGGTCCCGCTCCCTCACTACCAGAATTCCCTGCTACTAACTCCCAGAATCCCCTGCTACTAACATTTTAGGGCTAATCGACCTGAGAAGCACACCCTGGGGGCCCCTGGCGGCTCACCCTCCTTGTCTTCCCCACCGGCTGCCAGGATCACTCCGGGACCACCACGCCAACGGCTCACCAAGGCGCGCAAACCTCCGCGCCCGGAAGTTTAGTGTGTAGCTGCTCCTTCGCTGTCGCTCATGCCCATCACCTCCAGCTGACCAATCAGAGACGGCGCCTCGGCCCGGGCCCGCCCAGAAGGTGGGATTTCAGGACGCGGTTGTCCGGCAACCCAAAAGCTTTGGGTTGGGGATCTGTCCAGGAACTCGGCTGGGCCTCCACAAACCTAGCCCTCATCGCATCTCAGTCAACAAGCGCAACCCTCTTCTCATTTTCTCATGAGGAGAAAGGCATAGACGAAGAAGTACATGGGGATACATTCAATCATTCAATTAAATACTGACTGACAGCTACTGTGTGCCAGGCACCTGTTCTAGGTGACCAGGCAAACATCAGTGAACAAAACAGGATCCCTGTCCTGAGGAGCTTAATTCTGGAGGTGAGAGACAAACAGCACACATTAAACATCATAAATAGCTTGTAATCTCAGCACTTTGGGAGGCCGACACGGGCGAATCACTTGAGGTCAGGAGTTCGAGAGCAGCCTGGCCAACATGGTGAAACCCCGTTTCTACCAAAAATACAAAAATTGGCCGGGCATGGTGGCGGGCGCCTGTAATCCCAGCTACTCGGGAGGCTGAGGCAGGAGAATCGCTTGAACCTGGGAGGTGGAGGCTGCAGTGAGCCGAGATTGCCCCACTGCACTCCAGCCTGGGCAACAGAGGGAGACTCTGACTCAAATAAATAAATTAATAAATAAAAAAATAAACATCATAAATATGTTGAGTAGGATACATTTAACCTTTCTGTCCTTTTTCATTCAGTTCTCCTTAAAGTTTGGGTCATAACAATCTGGAATAGGGGATTACGGGGCATAAGTGCACAGGAGGTCCCAATGGAGGTTATGTCTGCTTCTGGGCTTCTGGAAGCTACTCACCGGTCTCCTTTACTAAGAAAATGTCAAATAATGCTTGAACAAATAACCAGCTAACTACACAAATAAAGCAAGAGCACAAGCAAAATAACTCATGGCTCCAGAATTACAGTTGAGTCAGTCAATCTAAGCCAAATGGCCAAACTACACGAATTTATTTTGGGAACAGGGAATTGTCAAGGGGGATGTGGATGAAGATGGTTAAAATTAGAGTTGATGTGTAAACATTTGAATCCAGCTACCCTTATGATTCATGTGTGTGAAGGAAAACTGTGGTGTTTATTGATCCTCTGTGGATTGACTGTATACATTACACCTCTTCATAACGTAAAGACTCCTTATGTGAATATGCCAGGTTGGCAGACTTGACAATGAGATATGGGTTTGTGACAGTAGGCACGGAAATTCATCATTCTGCTAGTTCCCCGCTAGAGTGAGGATCCATATCCTAGAGAATCATACAACCTTAGTGCTGAGAGGTGGGGGGTTGGTGGTGAACAAGCTGGATTGAATGTTGTACTTGGCAATATTTGAAAATAACTCTAAATAGAGTATCTTGCTAATGGTATTTCTTTCTCTAAAATTCATTTAAAAAATAGTTTATAGAATTCAAAACTTACTGAGTGTCTAATACGAATGGGGCACTCTAGGATATACAAAGATGAATGATATAAAATCTTTGCCCTCAAAGAGTTTTTAATTTAGTGTAGGGGCACAAATGCATGCAAATAATGACAATAAAATATATGGCATGATAATTTAATTCCATGAAAATCCATTGAGAGCTCATCAGGAACCAGCCCTGTGCTATAACAAGGACAGAAAATATTACAAAGGAGCAAACAAATTAATTCTGATTGGGAAGACAGGGAAAGAGTTCTTGGAGGAAACAGCATTTAATCCAAGGTCACACAACCAGTAAGTGATGGAGCTGGGATTTGGTTCCAGAGTCAATCCCCATGAATGCTATGCTCTACCAGCTCCCAGTATGTGGAGCTTAGAGTAATGTAGTACCATGGAGATGAAGAAGTACAAGTAGCCAGTTGTGGCTAGACCAGGGGTTTGCTACCCTGCTTGTGCATCAGGATCTTTGGGGAAGCTTTAAAAATGTTAATCCTCAGGCCTCACCCCTAGATATTGCTTTCCAAGTAGTCTTAACACACAGTCAGGGATGAGACTCACTGGGTTGAACTCTGTGGCTTATTAAGGGGAGGCAAAACTGAAAAGGTAGGCTGGACCTAATCTGGGAGGTAGAGATGCCATGCTAAATTATGCATTTCAACTTTATTCTATAGGTAAAGAAGAAGCTACTGGGGAGGGAAATGGTAG